>NT_167248.2:300000-516304 GCF_000001405.40 Homo sapiens | reverse complement strand
GGCCAGGCATTCCTCCAGGACCTCCTCCCCCAGGATCTTGCTTCAAGTGCCGGAAATCTGGCCACTGGGCCAAGGAATGCCCGCAGCCCAGGATTCCTCCTAAGCCGTGTCCTATCTGTGCAGGTCCCCACTCGAAATCGGACTGTCCAGCTTGCCCAAAAGCCACTCCCAGAGCCCCTGGAACTCTGCCCCAAGGCTCTCTGACTGACTCCTTCCCAGATCTTCTTGGCTTAGTGGCTGAAGACTGATGCTGCCTGATTGCCTCAGAAGCCTCCTGGACCATCACAGACACTTCAGGTAACTTACAGTGGAGGTAAGTCCCTTCTTAATTGATACGGAGGCTACCCACTCCACATTACCTTCTTTACAAAGGCCTGTTTCCCTTGCCTCCATAACTGTTGTGGGTATTGATGGTCAGGCTTCTAAACCTCTTAAAACTCCCCCACTCTGGTGCCAACTTGGACAACATTCTTTTATACACTCCTTTTTAGTTATCCCCACCTGCCCAGCTCCCTTATTAGGTCAAGACATTTTAACTAAACTATCTGCTTCTCTGACTATTCCTGGGCTACAGCCACACCTCATTGCCACCCTTTTCCCCAGTTCAAAGTCTCCTTCACATCCTCCCCTTATGTCTCCCTACCTTAATCCACACGTATGGGATACCTCTACTCCTACTTTGGCAACCGATCATGCACCCCTTATCATCCCATTAAAACCTAATCACCCTTACCCTGCTCAACGCCAATATCCCATCCCACAGCAGGCTTTAAAAGGGTTAAAGCCTGTTATAACTCACCTGTTACAACATGGCCTCTTAAAGCCTACAAATTCTCCTTACAACTCCCCTATCCTACCCCTCCAGAAACTGGACAAGTCTTACAGGTTGGTTCAGGATCTTCACCTTGTTAATCAAATTGTCCTTCCCATCCATCCTATAGTGCCAAACCTGTACACCCTCCTATCTTCAATAACCCTTTCCACAACTCACTATTCTGTTATCGACCTCAAAGATGCTTTCTTTACTATCCCCTTGCATCCCTCCTCCCAGCCTCTTTTTGCCTTTACTTGGACTGACCCTGACACCCACTAATCCCAACAACTCACCTGGACTGTTCTGCCCCAAGGCTTCAGGGACAGCCCACACTACTTTGGCCAGGCCCCTTCTCATGATCTGCTTTCTTCTTCCCCATCTGCCTCTCACCTTATTCAATATTTTGATGATCTCCTTTGCAGCCCCTCTTACTAATCTTCCCAGCAGGACACTATCCTGCTTCTTCAACATCTCTACTGAAAGGGGTACCAAGTATCCCCCTCCAAGGCACAAATTTCTTCTCCTAGTGTTACCTATCTCAGTATAATCCTCCATCAACATACATGTGCCCTTCCTGCAGACCGTATTCAGTTAATCTCCCAGACCCCAATCCCCACCACCAAACAACTCCTTTCCTTCTTAGGCATTGTTGGATATTTCCAACTCTGGATACCAGGCTTTGCTATTCTAACCAAAACCACTTTACAAGCTCACAAAGGATAACTTAACTAATCCCATAGATCCTAAGTCTTTTCCCCATTCTTCCTTTCACTTTCTCAAAAAGGTCCTGGAGACAGCTCCTACACTTGCACTCCCCAACTCGTCCCATCCCTTTTCCTTACACACAGCGGAAATACAAGTCTGTGCTGCCGGAGTCCTCACACAGGAGCCAGGCTCACAACCTGTTGCCTTTCTATCAAAGAAACTTGACCTCACAGTTCTGGGCTGGCTCTGCATGGGGCGGCAGGCACTGCTTTAATACTTCTAGAGGCCTTCAAAATCACAGGCTATGCTCCACTTACCCTTTACAGTTCTCACAACCTTCAAGCATTAATATCCTCCCCATACCTTTCACATTTATTGTCTGCCCCTCAACTCCTCCAGCTCTATTCACTCTTTGTTAAAACTCCAACAGTAACTATTATCCATAGGCCTGATTTCAACCCACTTTCTCACTTAGCACCCAGCACAAGTCCTGAACCACCTGACTGTATTTCCCTAATAAACATAGCATCCTCCCCCGTCCTCATATTCCTATTCTGCCAATTCCAAACACAGACCACACTTGGTTTATTGATGGCAGTTCTTCTAAACCCAATCAATTTTCACCAGCTAAAGCTAGATATGTTGTCGTGTCCCACACCGCTACTATTGAAGCTGCTGCACTTCCCTCCACCACTTCCGAATAAGCTGAACTGATTGCTTTAACTACCGCATTCTCTCACTAAAGGAATGCACATTGACATTTATACTGACTCCAGATATGCTTTCTATATCCTCCATAACCATGCTGCCTTCTGGGCTGAAAGAGGCTTCCTTACCACACAAGGCTCTTCCATTATCAATGCCTCCCTAACAAAGGCCCTCCTTAAGGTTGCTTTCCTGCCAGCCAAGGCTGGAGTCATTCATTATAAAGGGCACCAGAAACCTACTGATCTTATTGCAAAAGGAAATGCCTATGCCAACAGGACGGCAAAAGAAATAGCTGATGCCTCCACATCCACTAATATTCCAGCCCTCACTCCAGAGGTCCAGTATTTCTCCTTCTCCTCCAACACTCCCACCTACTTTTCTGAAAACCTGCTCTACCAGTCTTTTCCAACTCAAGGCAAGTGGTTCTTATAAATCATGGAAAATTCATTCTTCCTGCCTCACAAGCTCAGTCCATTCTTTCTTCCCTTCATGACCACTTCCATGTGGGATACAAGCCTGTGGCTTGATTCCTGCAGCTCCTCATCTCCTTCTCTTCATGGAAGTCCATCCTTAAGACCATAACCTCTCAATCCTCTGTCTGCCATGCCACCAGCCCCCAAGGCTTTCTCAGGCCTCCTCCTTTTCCTGAGCATCAGGCTTGTGGATTTACTTCAACTCATGATTGGCAGTTAGACTTTACTCATATGCCCCATGTCCGTAAATTTAAGTATCTCCTGGTTTGGATCGACACCTTCACCGGATGGCTCGAGGACTTTCCCACTAGTTCCAAAAAGCCTATTGCAGTCATTTCTTCCCTTCTAACAGATATAATTCCCTGATTTGGCCTCCCTACTTCTATTCAATCTGACAATGGTCCAGCTTTTATTAGTCAAATCACCCAAGCTGTCTCTCAGGTTCTTGGTATTCAGTGGAAACTTCATACCCCTTACTGTCCTCAATCTTCAGGAAAGGTAAAATGGACTAATGCTCTTTAAAAAACACACCTCACCAAGCTCAGCCTCTAACTTAAAAAGGACTGGACAGTACTTCTACCACTTGCCTTTCTCAGAATTAGAGCCTGCCCTCGAGATGCTACAGGGTACAGTCCATTTGAACTTTTATATAGACACACTTTCTTGCTCAGCCCCAATCTTATTCCAGACACCAGCCCTCTGGGCAACTATCTTCCAGTCCTCCAGCAGGCTAGACAGGAAATTCGCCAGGCTGCTAATCTTCTCTTGCCTACTCCAGATTCCCAGCCATATGAAGACACCCTAGCTGGATGATCGGTTCTTGTTAAGAGTCTGACCCCTGAAACTCTACAGCCTCGATGGAACGGACCCTACCTAGTCATCTATAGCACCCCAACTTCCGTCCATCTACAGGAATCTCCCCATTGAGTTCACCATTACAGAATAAAGCTGTGTCCATTGGACAGCCAGCCAGATCTCTCCTCTTCCTCCTGGAAGTTGCGAGTACTCTCCCCTACTTCCCTTAAAACTCATTCGCATTTCTAAAGAACAGTAATAACCCTTATAAGCCTAACACATCCTTTCATTTTTATTAGGTCTGTTCTTCCTTGCCTTACTCTCTACAACAGGGTTTTATGCAGTCACACCCGCCCCCACTTCTTGGACTGCAACTCACAAGCTTTTTCATCCCTGCTATTTTCCAATTCACCATTCTCACCTACTCATAAATGCCCTGCTCTTGTTTACACTGCCAGTTTCCACTTTTCCTCCAAACCATCACAGCTGATATCTCATGGTGCTATCCCCAAACTGCCACTCTCGACTCCCTCTTGGAGTGGATAGATGATCTTTGCTGGCAGGGCACACTCCAATATTTTCTGCCTCCACTATTGCTCTTGGAACTGGAATAGCAGGCAATTCAACCTCTGCCACAACCTTCTGTAGCCTCTCTAATGACTTCTCTGCTAGCATTGCAGACATATCACAATCTTTATCAGTCCTTCAGGCGCAGGTTGACTCTTCAGTTGCGGTTGTCCTCCAAAACCATGAGGCCTTGACTTACTCACTGCTGAAAAAGGGAGACTCTATATTTTTAAATGAAGAGTATTGTTTTTACCTAAATCAATCTGGCCTGGTATACGACAACCTAAAAAAACTCATGGATAGAGCCCAAAAACTCACCAACCAAGCAAATAATTACACTGAACCCCCTTGGGCACTCACTCTCTAATTGGATGTCCTGGGTCCTCCAAATTCTTAGCCCTTTAATACCTGTTTTTCTCCTTCTCTTATTCAGACCTAGTGTCTTCCATTTAGTTTCTCAGTTCATACAAAACTGCATCCAGGCCATCACCAATCATTCTATACAACAAATGCTCCTTCCAACAACCCCACGATATCACCCCTTACCACAAAATGTTTCTTCAATTTAATCTCTCCCACTCTAGGTTCCCATGCCACCCCTAATCCTGCCTGAAGCAGCCCTGAGAAACATTGCCCATTATCTCTCCATACCACCCCCCCCAAAATTTTTGCTGCCCCCAACACATCACCACTATTTTGTTTTGTTTTTCTTATTAATATAAGAAGACAGTAATGTCAGGCCTCTGAGCCCAAGCTAAGCCATCATATCCCCTGTGACCTGCACATATACATCCAGATGGCCTGAAGCAACTGAAGAACCATAAAAGAAGTGAAAATAGCCAGTTCCTGCCTTAATTGATGACATTCCACCACTGTGATTTGTTCCAGTCCCACCCTAACTGAGCATTGACCTTGTGACACTCCTTCTCCTGGACAGTGAATCTCAGGAGCTCCCCACTGAGCACCTTGTGACCCCTGCCCCTGCCTGCAAGAGAACAACCCCCTTTAACAGTAATTTTCCACTACCTACACAAATCCTAGAAAACTGCCCCACCCCATCTCCCTTTGCTGACTCCTTTTTCGGATTCAGTCTGCCTGCACCCAGGTGATTAAAAGCTTTATTGCTCACACAAAGCCTGTTTGGTGGTCTCTTCACATGGACATGTATAACATGGAGGAGTAACTTCTCCTCTATTTTTTGGAATAGTTTCAGTAGAATTGGTACCAGCACTTCTTTATATGTCTAGTGGAATTCAGCTGTGAATTTGCCTGGTACAGGGCTTTTTCTGATTTGTAAGTTTTTAAATTACTGATTCAATTTCAGAACTCATTATTGGTCTGTTCAGGGTTTTACTGTCTTCTTGGTTGAATCTTGAAAGGTAGTGTGTTTCTAGGAATTCAGCCATTTCTTTTAGGTTTTCTAGTTTTTGTGCATAGAGGTGCTCGAAATAGTCTCTGATGGATTTTTGGGGTCAGTGATATTTCTTTAAAATGTACTGCTACCATTGATTGTCATAACCAGTTTGTAGGATTCATGTTTTCCATTTATTCTTATCTCAAAAGTAGGGTAAACTGATCTCTGAATACACAGATGATAAAAGAGTAATCATAAAACTAAACTATTAATGTGTCCAATAATAATTATGGTAACAGAGATAACGTAACTTTGAAAGCAACTCATGTTCAAGTCAGAAGTGAAAATAAATACATTTTTACATGAACCAGTAAAACATTAAACATAATATTTAGTGGGGGAAAAAAGAAATATAGCATTTATTTGTGTCGGGAACATGCTAAGTCTTTCTTCTAGCTATTTTGAAATAAACAATAAATTATTGTTATCATAGAGATTTATCAAAATATCACAAGCACCTCAGAAACATGTACAATAGTTGTGTATCAATTTCTTAATTAACAATAAAAACTGAAAAATATTTAATTGACAAAGAAATTACTAAAAAGCATTATTCACATCATAATCACTTTTTCAATTAACTATTTTCTCATTCAGCTACATATTATATTAACAGTACAGCTGTGATCATGTGAGCACATGAGAAATGTGTATCATTTTTATTAAGAATTAACAAATTCGAGACTTAAACATTCGTGACTGCCAGCTCTGAGGAGAGCAGTGGATCACCCAGCACAGTGCCCGAGCTCTGCTAAGGAACAGACTGCCTCCTCAAGTGGGTCGCTGACCCCCATGCCTCCTGACTGAAAGACACCTCCCAGCAGGGATCGACAGACACCTCATACAGGAGAGCTCCAGCTGGCATCCAGCAGGTGCCCCTCCTAAACAAAGCTTCCAGAGGAAGGAACAGGCAGCAATCTGTGCTGTCCGGCAACCTCTGCTGGTGATACCCAGGTGAACAGGGTCTGGAGTGGACCTCCAGCAAACTCCAGGAGACCTGCAGCAGAGAGGCCTGATGGTTAGAAGAAATACTAACAAACAGAAAGGAATAGTATCAACATCAAGAGAAAAATGTCTACTCAGGATCCCATCTGAAGGTCACCAACATCAAAAGCCAAAGGTATATAAATCCATGAAGATGAGAAAAAAAAAACAGCACAAAAAGGCTGAAAATACCAAAAATCAGAGCACCTCTTCTACTCCAAAGATCACAAATCCTCACCAGCAAGGGAACAAAACTGGATCGAGAATGAATTTGACAAATTGACAGAAGTAGGCTTCAGAAGGTGGGTAATAACAAACTCCTCTGAGCTAAAGGAGCATGTTCTAACCCAATGCAAGGAAGCTAAAAACCTTGAAAAATGTTTAGAGGAATTGCTAACTAGAATACCAATTTAGAGAAGAATATAAATAACCTGATGGAGCTGAAAAACACACCACGAGAACTTCGTAAAGAATACACAAGTATCAATAGCTGAATCAATCAAGTGGAAGAAAGTATATAAGAGATGGAAGATCAAATTAATGAAATAAAGCATGAAGCCAAGATTAGAGAAAAGAGAATGAAAAGGAATGAACAAAGCATCCAAGAAATATGGGACTATGTGAAAAGACCAAACCTACATTTGATTGGTATACCTGAAAGTGACTAGAAGAATGGAACCAAGTTGGAAAACACTCTTCAGGATATTATCCAGGAGACCTTCCCCAGCCTAGCAAGACAGGCCAACATTCAAATTCAGGAGATAGAGAGAACACCACAAAGATACTCCTCAAGAAGAGCAACCCAAAAACATGTAATTGTCAGATTCACCAAGGTTGAAATGAAGGAAAAAATATTAAGGGCAGCCAGAGAGAAAGGTCAGAATACCAACAAAAAGAAGCCTCTCAGACTAACAGCAGATCTCTCTGCAGAAACCCTACAAGCCAGAAGAAAGTGGGGGCCAATATTCAACATTCTAAAAGAAAAGAATTCTCAACCCAGAATTCTATACCCAGCCAAACTAAGCTTCATAAGCAAAGGAGAAATAAAACTCTTTACAGACAGCAAATAATGAGAGATTTTGTCACCCCCAGGCCTACCTTACAAGAGCTTCTAAAGGAAGCAATAAATGGGGAAAGGAAAAGCCGGTACCAGCCACTGCAAAAACATACCATATTGTAAAGATGATCGACATTATGAAAAAAGTGCATTAACTAATGGGCAAAATAACCAGTTAGCATCATAATGACAGGATAAAATTCACACATAACAATACTAACCTTAAATGTAAATGAGCTAAATGCCCCAATTAAGAGACACAGACTGGCCAACTGGAAAAAGAGTCAAGACCCATCAGTGTGCTGTATTCAGGAGACCCATCTCATGTGCAAAGACACACATAGGCTCAAAGTAAAGGAATGGAGGAACATCTACCAAGCAAATGCAAAGCAAAAGACTTCAAGGGTTGCAATCCCAGTCTCTGATAAAACAGACTTTAAACCAACAAAGATCAAAGAAGACAAAGAAGGGCAATACATAATGGTAAAGGGATCAATGCAACTATCCTAAATATATATGCACCCAATACAAGAATACCCAAATTCATAAAGCAAGTTCTTAGAGACCTACAAAGAGACTTAGACTCCCATACAATAATAGTGGGAGACTTTAACACCCCACTGTTAATATTAGACAGATCAATTAGACAGAAGATTAACAAGAATATTAAGGACTTGAACTCAGCTCTGGACCAAGTGGACCTAATAGACATCTATAGAACTCTCCAC
The DNA here is from genome assembly GCF_000001405.40 of Homo sapiens. NCBI lineage: Eukaryota > Metazoa > Chordata > Mammalia > Primates > Hominidae > Homo > Homo sapiens. Next base: position 508,059 of record NT_167248.2, on the reverse strand, counting down.
CCCAAATCAACAGAACATACATTATTCTCAGCACCACATAGCACTTATTCTAAAATTGACCACATAATTGGAAGTAAAACTCTCCTCAGAAAATGCAAAAGAATGGGAATCATAACAAACAGTCTCTCAGACCACAGTTTAATCAAATTCGAACTCAGGATTAAGAAACTCACTCAAAACTGTAAAACTGTATGGAAACTGAACAATGTGCTCCTGAATGACTACTGGGTAAATAACAAAATTATGGCAGAAATAAATAGATTCTTTGAAACCAATGAGAACAAAGACACAACATACCAGAATCTCTGGGACACAGCTAAAGCAGTGTTTACAGGGAAATTTATAGCACTACATGCCCACAGGAGGAAGGGGGAGAGATCTAAAATCAACGCCCTACCATCACAATTAAAAGAACCAGAGAAGCAAGAGTAAACAAAGTCAAAAGCTAGCAGAAGATAAGAAATAACTAAGAACAGAGCAGAACTGAAGGAGATAGAGACATGAAAAATCCTTCAAAAATCAATGAATCCAGGAGTCGGTTTCTTGAAAAGATTAACAAAATAGATAAACTACTAGCCAGACTAATAAAGAAGAAAAGAGAGAAGAATCAAATAGACAGAATAAAAAATGATAAAGGAGATATTACCACTGATCCCACAGAAATACAAATTACCACCAGAGAATACTGTAAACACCTCTATGCAAATAAATTAGAAAATCTAGAAGAAAGGGATAAATTCCTGGACACATACATCCTCCCAAGACTAAACTAAGAAGAAATCCAGTTCCTGAATAGACCAATAACAAGTTCTGAAATTGAGGCAGTAATTAATAGCCTACCAACAAAAAAAGCCTAGGACCAGATGGATAAACAGCCGAATTGTACCAGAGGCACAAAGAAGAGCTGCTATCATTCCTTCTGAAACTATTCTAAACAATAGAAAAAGAGGGACTCTTCCCTAACTCATTTTATGAGGCCAGCATCATTCTGATACCAAAGCCTGGCAGAGACACAATGAAAAAAGAAAATTTCAGGCCAATATCCATTATGAACATTGATGCAAAAATCCTCAATAAAATACTGGCAAACCAAATCAAGCAGTACATCAAAAAGCTTATTCACCATGATCAAGTCAGCTTCATCCCTGAGATGCAAGGGTGGTTCAACATACACAAATCAATAAACATAATCCATCACATAAACAGAACCAATGATAAAAACCCCATGATTATTTCAATAGCTGCAGAAAAGGCTTTTGATAAAATTCAACAACCCTTGATTCTAAAAACACTCAATAAACTAGGTATTGATGGAACATATCTAAAAATAGTAAGAGGTATTTATGACAAACCCACAGCTAATATCATACCGAATGGGCAAAAGCTGGAAGCATTCCCTTTGAAAACCAGCACGAGACAAGGATGCCCTCTCTCACAACTCCTATTCAACACAGTATTGGAAGTTCTGGCCAGGGCAATCAGGCAAGAGAAAGAAATAAAGCATATTCAATTAGGAGGAGAGGAAGTCAAATTGTATCTGTTTGCAGATAACATGATTGTATATTTAGGAAACCCCATCACCTCAGCCCAAAATCTCCTTAAGCTGATAAGCAACTTCAGCAAAGTCTTAGGATACATAATCAATGTGCAAAAATCACAGGCATTTCTATACACCAATAATAGACAAACAGAAAGCCAAATCATGAATGAGCTCCCATTCACAATTGCTACAAAGAGAATAAAATACCTAGGAATACAACTTACAAGGGATGTGAAGGACCTCTTCAAGGACAACTACAAACCACTTCTCAAGGAAATAACAGAGGACATAAACAAATGGAAAATCATTCCATGATCATGGATAGAAAGAATCAATATAGTGAAAAAGGCCATACTGCCCAAAGTAATTTATAGATTCAATGCTATCCCCATCAAGCTACCACTGACTTTCTTCACAGAATTAGAAAAAACTACTTTAAATTTCATATGGAACCAAAAAAGAGCCCATCCCGTATTGCCAAGACAATCCTAAGCAAAAAGAACAAAGCTAGAGGCATCACACTACCTGACTTCAAACTATACTAAAAGGGTACAGTAACCAAAACAGCATGGTACTGGTACCAAAACAGATATATAGACCAATGGAACAAAATAGAGGCCTCAGAAATAATGCCACATGTCTACTACCATCTGATCTTTGACAAACCTGACAAAAAACAAGCAATGGGGAAAGGATTCCCTATTTAATAAATGGTATTGAAAAAACTGGCTGGCCATATGCAAAAAGCTGAAACTGGACCCCTTCTTTACACCTTATACAAAAACTAACTCAAGATGAATTAAAGACTTAAATATAAGACCTAAAAACATAAAAACCCTAGAAGAAAACCTAGGCAATACCATTCAGGATGGGCAAAGACTTCATGACTAAAACACCAAAGCAATGGCAACAAAAGCCAAAATAGACAAATCAGATCTAATTAAAGTAAAGAACTTCTGCACAGCAAAAGAAACTAACAACAGAGTGAAAAGGTAACCTACAGAATGGGAGACAATTTTTGCAATCTATCCATCTGACAAAGGGCCAATATCCAGAATCTACAAGGAACTTAAACAAATTTACAAGAAGAAAACAAACAACCCCATCAAAAAGTGGGTGAAGCAAATGAATCAACACTTCTCCAAAGAAGACATATATGTGGCCAACAAACATGAAAAAAAGCTCATCATCACTGGTCATTAGAGAAATGCAAATCAAAACCACAGTGAGGTACCACCTCATGCCAGTTAGAATGGCGATCATTAAAAAGTTAGGAAACTACAGATACTGGAGAGGATATGGAGAAATAGGAATGCTTTTATACTGTTCTTGGGAGTGAAAATTAGTTCAACCATTGTAGAAGACAGTGCAGCAATTCCTCAAGGATCTAGAACCAGCAATACCATTTGACCCAGCATTCCCATTACTGGGTATATACCCAAAGGATTATAAATCATTCTAATATAAAGACACAAGCACACGTATGTTTATTGCAGCACTGTTTACAATAGCAAAGACTTGGAACCAACCCAAATGCCCATCAATGATAGTCTGGATAAAGAAAATGTGGCACATATAACCCATGGAATATTATGCAGCCATAAAAAAAAGGATGAGTTCATGTCCTTTGCAGGGACATGGATGAAGCTGGAAATCATCGTTCACAGCAAACTAACACAGGAACAGAAAACCAAACACTGCATGTCCTCACTCATAACTGGGAGTTGAAAAATAAAAACATATGGACACAGGGAGGGGAGCATCACACACTGTGGTCTTTTAGGGGGTGGGGGGCCAGGGGAGGGATAGCATTAGGAGAAATACCTAATGTAGATGACAGGTTGATGGGTGCATCAATCACCATGGCACGTGTATACCTATGTAACAAACCTCCACGTCTACACATGTATCTCAGAACTTAAAATATATAATATATAATATATATGTATAAAGTATATATATAAAGTATATATAAAGTATATATACATATATAAAGTATATATAAAGTATATACATATATAAAGTATATATATATAAAGTGTGTATATACACACACACACACATATATATAGGAATTGCTCCTAACCAGAGTAATCAGGCAAGAGAAAGAAAAAAATGGCATGTAAATAGGAAGAAAGAAAGGCAAACTATCTGTTTGCAGACCACATGATACTATATCTAGAAAACCCCATTGCCTCAGCATAAAAGCTCCTTCAGCTGATACACAACTTCAGCAAAGTTTCAGAATACAAATCCATATACAAAAATCACTAGCATTACTATACACCAACAGCCAAGCCAAGAGCCAAATTAGAAAGGCAATCCTTTTCTAATTTGGGAATTACAATTGCCACAGAAAGGATAGAATACTTAGGGGTACAGCTAACCAGGTAGGTGAAAGATCTCTACAATGAGAATTACAAAGAAATCAGATCCGTGCTTAAAGAAATCAGAGAAGACACAAACAAATGGAATAACATCCCATGCTCGTGGATAGGAAGAATCAATATTATTAAAATGGCCATACTGCCCAAAGCAATTTACATATTCAATGATATTCCTATCAAAATACCAACAACATTCTTTGCAGAACTAGGAAAATCTATTTTAAATTTCATATGGAACAAAAACAAAGCCCGAATAGCAAAGGCAATCCAAAGCAAAAAGAACAAAGCTAGAGGCATCACCCAACTTTAAACTACACTACAGAACTATGGTAACCAAACAGCATTGTACTGGTACAAAAACAGGTACATAGACCAATGGAACAGAATAGAGAGCCCAGAAATAAGAATGCACACCTATGACCAGTTGATCTTCAACAAAACTGACAAAAACAAAGGGGAAAAGACTCCCTATTCCATCAAACATGCTGGGATAACTAGCTAATATCCAGCTTCTATGAGGAACTTAAACAAATTTATGAGAGAAAAACAAACAACCCCATTAAAAAGTGGGCAAAGGACATGAACAGACACTTTTCCAAAGAACACATACATGTGGCCAGTAAGCATATGAAAAAAAAAAAAAGCTCAATATCACTGGTCATCAGAGAAATGCAAATCAAATCCAGAATGAGATACCATCTCACACCAGTCAGAATGGCTATTATTAAAACGTAAAAAAATAACAGATGCTGGCAAGGTTGCAGAGAAAAGGGAACACTTATATGCTGTTGATGGGAGTATAAATTGGTTAAGCCAATGTGGAAAACAGTATGGCTATTCCTCAAAGAGCTAAAAGCAAAACTACCATTCAACCCAGCAATCCCATTACTGGGTATACACCCAGAAGAATAGAAATCATTTTACTGTAAAGACACATGTGGCCAGGTGCGGCAGCTCTCAGCTATAATCCAAGCACTTTGAGACCAGCGTGGGCAACATGGCCAAACCGCATTTCTACCAAAAATACAAAAATTAGCCGGGTGTGGTGGTGCATGCCTGTGGTCCCAGCTACCAGGGAAGCTGAGATGGGAGGATCACCCGAGACTGGGGAGGTCAAGACTGCAGTGAGCCATGATTGTGCCACTGCGCCGCAGCCTGGGCGAGAGAGTGACATCCTGTCTCAAAAAAAAAAAAAAAAGGATACAGCACATGTGCAGGTAAATGTTCATCACAGCACTATCCAGAAAAGCAAGACATGGAATCAACCTAAATGCCTACCAATGACAAATTAGATTTTAAAAATGTGGTATATACAGCTATAAAAAAAAGATCATGTATTTTGTGGGAGCATGGATGGAGCTAGAGGCCATTATCCTTAGCTAACTAATGCAGGAACAAATAAATAAATACCACATGTTCTCACTTATAAGTGGGAGCTAAATTATGAGAACTCATAAACACAAAGAAGGAAAAAACAGAAACAGATTTTCTTGAGGGTGGAAGGTGGGAGAAGGGGTAGGAGGGGAAAAAGATAACTATTGGATACTGAGCATAATACATGGGTGATGAAATAATCTGTACAACAAACCCCTGTGACACAGTTTCCCTTCTGTAACAAACCTTCACACGTACCCCTGAACCTAAAATAAAGTTTTTATTAGAAAAAAAAAAGTCGAAGTCAGCAGAAATGCTTGGGTTTAAGATAGGGGGAGTTGTGGAAGCCAAGGTTCTTGTTATGTAAATAAAGTCTTCAGGTGGCAGGCTTCAGAAAAAATTAAGTAGTAAATGTCTCTTATGAGATCTTAAAAAGTGTCAGACTATTAGTTAAATCTCTCCTGGATCTGGAAAAGACCTGGAAAGGGTAGCGAATTCTATACAGAATGTAGATTTTCCCCACAAGAAACAATAATATAGGTGTTATAAACAAATTATTTAGGCAGATAGTGAGGGTAAGGAAATCCTTCCTGGGTAAGGTTTTCCTTTTAATAAAAAGCAGCCCCCAAATCATTTTTTCTAACAAAGAGCAGCCTGTATAGAATCTAGCTGCAGACATAGACAAGCAAACAGGAAGTTTGCATTGATCAATGCTGGCAGTTGTGCTAATAGAAAAAGGCTACCTGGGATTAAGCATGATCAAAATGGTGGCTCCATCTTCCCTTCTCTTTGTCAGCCACGTGTAGAATAAGGAGCAGACAAGATGGTGCTGGCCATAAGATTAAGGTGGGTCAACCAGACTTCCCTGCGGGCTATGTAAATGTCACACCTGGTAGAACCAATCTGTGACCCTGTGTAAATCAGACACCGGCTCCTCCTCAAGCTTGCCTATAAAATCTGCTGTGGTCTGCCGCAAGCCAGTTGTTTCCCTTTCAAAAACTTCTTTCTCACGAGGGAGAGAGAGAGAGAGAGCTGCTTGCCTCTCTCCTTTCTTCTGCCTGTTAAACTCTCTGCTCCTTAACACACCCACATGTGTCCGTGTCCTTAATCTTCTTAGTGCAAGACGATGAACCCTGGGTATTTACCCCAGACAACGATGCCACTTCAACAGCTTTTCAAAGGCATTCCAAAAGGTGTCAAAGAAATCTATTTTGGGGTAAAATACTTTGATTTCTTTCAGGACTGGCTATCTATCATGTGATGCTATACTAGAGTCAGGTTGCAATTTGGTATGTTATTGCTATAAGGAATCTGTTTTGTCAGTCTTAATTAAGATCTCTGTTTTAAAGTTAATAATGCTGGTAAGTTATGCCTGAATTCCAAAGGGAGGAGAGTATGTCCCTGCAAAGCTGCTTCTGGTGGGGGAAATTTACATTCTGTAGCGAATCGCCTTTGCTTTCCAGGTCTTTTTCTGATCCTGAAGAGTTTAGTTGAGAGTCCAGTACCTTTTAAAGGTCTGAATACAAAATATTTCCCATCTATTGCTTGTAAGGGTGACCACTTATGAGACTTCATCTACATAATAAGAACCTTGTTCTCTACAATCCCTTATTTTAATCCAGACACTCCTTTCTATTGATTCTAGGCATTTAAATAGTAACAAGTTTTTCAACCAATTGCCAATAAGAAAATCTTTGAATTTACCTTTGATGTGGAAGGCCCCACTTTGAGTTGTTCCACCTTTCATGACTGAACCAACACAGACCCCACATGTATTGACTGATTTTTTACATGCTCCTAAAATGTAAATCAAGTTGTAATTCAATCACCTTGGGCACTTGTTCTCAGGATGTCTTGAGACTGCGCCTCAGGCCGTCAATTACTCACATTTGGCTCAGAATAAAACTCTTTAAATATTTCATGGAGTTTGACTCTTTTTTGTTGACAATTTTTTCTTCAAGAGTGTCTCAGAATTAATGATACTTGATATTCTATATACAACTTGGTATTCTATATACATTTTAGAATAATCTTAGAAAATTTTACAAATAGTCTGAATTTTGATTGAGTTAGCACTGAATATAGAGATCAAAGATATAATTAATATCTATACAATTTTGAATCATCTATGAATAGTTGTAATCACTTTGAATTTTCTACATACATAATCATATATATAATAATGAAATTTTATTTCTTCTACTGCAATCTTGCTTGTTCCTTGTCTTATCCTATTATACTGGCTAAAGTCTCTACAACAAAGTAGTTTGAATGGAAATGGAAATAGAAGGTGTCCTTGTCTTTTCCTCAATTTCAAAGAGAAAATTTTCAACATATTCATAATGCTTGCTGAAAGGGTTTTCGGATCCTGTTTAACAGATTAGGATCTATCATTCTTTTCATAGCTTACTAAGTCATTTTTATTATTTTTATATATTTTGAGACTCATCAAATACTTGATTTTTTATCTGATGATATGATTATAAAATGTTGTTTCTTTATTGTGTTATTTTGCTAACACAATGAAAAAATGAATTTCATTTTTTTCTGGAATAAATTTACTTTCAGCAGTGTGTAGAATATTTTAAATAATTGAATTAATTGGTAATATTTTCAAATCTATGTTAATTCATGGGACTATCATGCAATTTTAAAATTTTGTTTTGTTGCCAAAGTTATACTTGACTAAAATAGTATTTGAAACTTGCCTTCTATTTTTTAAACCTCTGGCATATATAAAAATTTCCTACAAATGAATTTGGAAAAAGTCAAGGACTTGAATGGATACTACACAAAAGATTTCTCAATGACTATAAATATAAGAGAAACTGGTCAACTTCATTAGTTAGTAGGTGAGTACAAATTAAAATCATAATGATATATTCATGATATATCACCAGAATGGCTAAAATTAAGAGGACAGAAAACACTGTTAGTATAGATTTGGAGCAACTGTAATTCTCACCATACTGTGGAGTTTAAGTTTGTGCAACCAACTTCCAGAATTGGTGGTATCTACCAAAGCTGAATATATGCATACCTCAAACCTAAGCAATTTCTCCACAGTATCGTCCCTGCCAAAATGCTTACATTTCTTACCAAACACATATACTAAAGTGACTGCAGCAGCAATATTCACAAAAGACAAAAATCATAAGCACCCAAATGTCTAGCCTATCAGTACTACAAAGGATAAAATAGTTGTGGCATATTTATACAATGAAATACAATGCAGTAAAAATATAGTGCTGTATTGGTATATGCAACCACATAAATGAATCTCCCAAAGATAACATTGAATAAATATAAGCAGAAACAAAAGAAATAATGCTGTATGATTTTGTTTATATATAGTTCAAAAAAATCATAATAATGGTTACAAGGGGCAGGTATAAGTAGCATAAGGAAATGAAATTGAGAGTCATTCTAGAATGTTTCTTACATTGTTTTCTTGATCAAAATTTGTTCACTTTGTAATAATTAAGTTGCACCTTCATGAACTATTTTATATAAACTTTTTTTTTTTTGCCTTCAGCAAACATTTTTTTTTCTTTTTTTCTTTTTTTTATTATACTTTAAGTTCTAGGGTGCATGTGCACATTGTGCAGGTTAGTTACATATGTATACATGTGCCATGCTGGTGCGCTGCACCCACTAACTAAACTATTTTTTTAAATGAAAGCTTTCATAAAAATCTAGATTCCATTGAGAATTCAGAATATTTTGCAATCCTGGGGCTCAATGCATAGAAAATTGGTCAACTAGCGCTCAGCAGTTGTTGTTTTCTTCAGATGTGGCATGTGCAGCAAAATGTTCACCACTCTTTTATTACTGCATATAGACCTCAGCTAAATGTTTGTTGACACTTATCATTGCATTTCTACAATTGTTTTTCTTATACCTTATCCACTCAGTCATTCATATCACCTGCTTGTACTTGAATATGCATTAGATTTTTCTTGGACCCTAAAATATTTATAGAATTTGCCTTAAACAAATAGAGGTTCACTTCCTCTATTGAGACCTGAAAAAAAATCATAAAGGAAGAGTATGAATGTATATACATTTATAGGTGACAGACAGGAAGTTAATGGAATTTCCCCCTGGGCCCTCTGTTTTGTCTTGGAAGTCAGGGCAAGATAACCTGCTTGGAGAGCTGTGGGACACTGGATTGGAGGATTTAAGAATTTGTTGAACATTTGCTATGGTGATGCAAGAGACAAACAGGATACACACAGAATGACCTCTGGACAGAAGAGAGCCCATTGGAAGTTGAGAAAGACCAGGGGTGTTTAAGGGCGCCGTTCAAAACATTTATATATTTATCTCCAGCAACAGTCAAGTGCCTATTAGATATGAGGGAAAAGGCCCTGTTGGAAGGCTGCAGGCCTGCCGTTTTTGTCTCAGTAGAGGTGAGGTAAAGGCAAGGTGCCCCAAAATTTAAAGTTATTAAGAAGAGAATTTAAAGTTATGAGTCAACAGGATAAATTAATTATATGTACTTGCATATATAAAATACTAGATTTTTGATAGAAACTTAACAGCAGAAATGAGAAAATTGAACGTTGGGAGGCTATGAGGGCAGAAGTTAAATATCTTTGTGGTTTTGCCTAGATTTACACAATATTGAAAGATCAGAGAGTCAAAATTATTTCTTTCAGAATAATCTCCTGGGACATTTCATCTTTGGATACTACAGAGCCTGATATTAATTGCATGTTGGGAGAACTGTGTCCCTGGGATCTTTTTGGATTCAGTGTCCTGCGTCCTTGCCAGTGTCTCCTGATTTGCTGATCTTCAGTGATCTCCAATCTCAAATAACAGCCCCGACAACCAATACATGAGCCTTAGACACTGAGTTGTCACTTGAAGGTAATAATGGTTTGAACTCTATGGCTTAAGCTTCCTTTCTGTATTAAAATATGATTATTAGTGTGAAAAAAATGTGGAAAACTTTTTTTCTTGTAACATATTTATTTCTTTTTATGCTTTGATTTTATTTCTATACCATGCCCATGATTCTTAACTTTTAATGGCGAACTGGTTTAAAGTGATGTTCATCTGGGTGAGGGGAGATTATATAGTGCACATGTTAAATTTTGCATCATGGTAAAATAAAATTCTTCTACAAGCCTAAAACAAACATATTCCTACAAATAAGGAGCTGGTTCATGACTGTGAATTGATCTCTCATCGCGTTTCTTTGGAGGTATTGTGTGTGAGTGTGTGTTAAAAATACAGGAGAAGTCTCCTTTGATTGGGATGGGTAAATTGACAATGAGCAGGCTGCATTAAACAGATTAGAACAAGAGTGATGTGTGTCTGGCTTTATTTTATTCCTTTGATACAAGTAAAACGAGTACAATTTAGTGTAGCTAAATGGGTGGGAATTAACATAAATGAGAGAATCGGAAGACTTACGCATGTATGTATGTTTTTATGGGTATGTATGTGTATAACTGTGAGTGAAATTATTAGAACTATATATATTTAGTATACGTTATATTGAATATATTACATGTAGCATATTTATAAACTGGTTTATTCCTTAAGGGTCCTTTCATGTTCTCTTTTTACTATTGTGCTCTCCTCCCCCTATTTTGAGGGATCACTCAGTGTCTTCATCCTTTTATGGGGTACCCATGCCTCCTCTGACTTTTCCTGTGACTTCTTTTCATTTCCATTGAGTACTGCTAAGTACAATTTTTAGATGATAAGTGAAATAAATATTAAAAAAGCAGTGAAAATTACCTTATATATTTTACTTTAATGACTAATTTTCAGAACAAATATTAATGCAATTTCAGGATATACAGTTATTGTAGGGGAAGAATTTTAGGCTGGAGTAATTTTTCCTGATGCCACGTGGAAAGTGCCTATTTGTCCTATATATGAGGTAAAGTCGTGAAATTTGGGTATATACTTTGTATCTGTGAATATATTTTAAACTTCTGCATTTATAAGTGTTTGGACTTTTAAAAAGCTGATTAAAAATTTTGATCTTTTCATCTTCTAGAAGATAAACATTCTATGTTGGTTTGATGCCTCTTAGTCTCACTAAAGAGCCCTTCTTACCCTGATCACCACTCTTTCCATTCAGATTCAACTACCTCTTCATTCAACACACAAGACCAGAGAGCTAACTCCCTTCCCTAACACCACACACCAAAGAAGAGAAGGAGAACTTTGCAAATCAGGACTATCATAGATGAATCCAGCTTATAGGCCAGAAGGTAAACTAGATGACTAAACATGAGGTGTGCTGCATAATGCTTGCATAAGAATATCTTTGCTGAATAAACTGCATGAGTTTACGTCATCAGTATGCTGGTGGACTAAATGAGTTAACGAATCCCTAAAGAAAATAAGTCATTGAAAGTATGTGTCCATATAATTAAACATTAAGTTATAAATGTTAATATTATTACTTTCAATAGCCAAATGTTTGCCATTTTATAGGAAAAATAACCTCTATAATCTCCAGAAGCGAGCTACCATTCATATAAAGAAAAACCTTAAAAAATGCCCAACTCAGAATTTACAATTGAAGAATGGAAATGCTATTTATATTAATTATTTGCATATATTAACCATTACTGAGTTTTTTCACTGAATTTGAACAATTTGTCCTGAGTTATAAATTAATTGAATGTACTTTATTCCTTTGACATTTTCTTTCTTTCTGCCTTTATTTTTTCTGTGATACACTTTATCTCAGCTTCTAATAGTTATCAGTCAGGAAAATACTGCTTCCACAATAGCCTTCATGTATCTCTCTGTATTATGTATTTTCTTTAAGGTCTTCTTTTGTGATTTCTATATCAAAATTTATTCCATGGGTCACTGTAACATCTCTGAGTCAGTGTTTTGATTAGAGATTAATCAAAACTTTTTAAAGATTGATATTTTGCCCAATGGCCAACACATTATCCTCCCTGAATTCTTGTAATGTGTTTCTCCTAGTTCTGAACAGGGTGATGGGCATGACCAACAGCAGTGTCAAGGGAGACTTCATCCTGGTGGGTTTCTCTCATCAGCCCCACCTGGAAAAGATCCTCTTTGTGGCTGTTTTGATATCCTATCTCCTTACCCTTGTGGGAAATACAGTAATTATTCTGATCTGCTCTGTAGACCCTAAACTCAAGACACCCATGTATTTTTTCTTACTCACCTCTCCTTAGTTGATATCTGTTTTACCACCAGTATTGTCCCCCAGCTGCTGTGGAACCTAAAAGGACCTGACAAAACAATCACATTCCTGGGTTGTGTCATCCAGCTCTACATCTCCCTGGCATTGGGCTCCACTGAGTGTGTCCTCCTGGCTGTAATGGCTTTTGATCGCTATGCTGCAGTTTGCAAACCTCTCCACTATACCGCCGTAATGAACCCTCAGCTGTGCCAGGCTCTGGCAGGGGTTGCGTGGCTGAGTGGAGTGGGAAACACTCTTATCCAGGGCACTGTCACCCTCTGGCTTCCTCGCTGTGGACACCGATTGCTCCAACATTTCTTCGTGAGGTACCCTCCATGATTAAGCTTGCATGTGTGGACATCCATGATAATGAGGTTCAGCTCTTTGTTGCTTCACTGGTCTTGCTCCTCTTGCCCTTAGTGCTAATACTGCTGTCCTATGGACATATAGCCAAGGTGGTCATAAGGATCAAGTCAGTCCAGGCCTGGTGCAAAGGCCTGGGGACATGTGGATCCCATTTGATAGTAGTGTCCCTCTTCTGTGGGACCATCACAGCTGTCTACATCCAGTCCAACAGTTCTTATGCCCATGCTCATGGGAAGTTCATCTCCCTCTTCTATACAGTTGTGACCCCGACCCTCAATCCTCTCATCTACACACTGAGGAATAATGACGTGAAAGGAGCACTGCGATTATTTAACAGAGACTTAGGCACATAAAAAATGAAGCAGAGTACACAGCGCTCAACTTTTTTCACAAAGCAACTTTAAAGGTCATCTTGTATAATTTTTCACTCAAGAACTTTGCCAGTCTGTAAAGGAAGAGATGTAATCTTCTCCATCTGCATTACTGTATTTCACTTGGCCTCAGAGCTTTCTATCCTCTCCAATCTCTTTCCAGACTTCTTTTGAGCCCATGTAAGGCAATATTCCCCCATGCCTTTTAGATCTCCATGAGTCACATCATTTCTGTTTCTCGCTCTCCCCGGCTTCCTGTGCTTTTCTTTAGCCTTCCTTCCTTTCTTGCTTTTTTCCTTCCCTTCCTTCCGTTTCCACCTTTTATTTATTCATTAAAAAAAGACATATAAGCCCTCAAACACAATTTTGGTATACAAGGTCTTGTTTATTATATAATAGTCATTGTTTTGGATCAACTCAGAGAAAAGTATAGAGCCCTTCTTGAATTACTTAAAACTTAACTATAAATTAGGGCATGCTTTATTTAAATATACTCAAGCACTGAAAAGGAATAGGTATCTGTGTTCTAGAGCAGGCTGTGGCAAACTGGGGGAACAGGCCAAATCACTCATTCTAACACTTGATAACATGATTTTTTATTTCAGTTATTCACAAGAAGGGACATTCACCAGCAGTTAGTAATTAATGATATCTTTTCCATCTTCAATTAAACAGAGAGTTCACAGAATTCCATCTGGGGCCTGCTTTGAAACTATGCACACTTGGCAAAAGGAAAAGAGCTCAGATCCAAACAGGACATGGGTACCAGTGTTTTATAAATCAAAATTTCTCACCCTTAGCCCTATGGACATTTTGGAACAGATAATTTTCTGTTGTCAGGGTCTCTCTTCTGCATTTTAGGATGCTCAGCAGTATCTTTGGCCTCTGTGCACTAGATGCTAGTAGCATCTCCTTTCCCCCCAAGTTGTGACAAGCAAAAATACCTCCAGACATTGTCAAATATGCCCTAGGAAGCAAAAATGCTCCTGGCATAGAAGCACTGCCATAAATCAGGGCATATTGCTATATCAAGAGGCATGTTTTATTACATGGGAGTAAGCCTACAGGGTCAGAGTGAGACTAGCAGCAGTCATTCTAGTGCACAAAGCATAGGTGTGCACATAGAAACACAAAAGCACAGGAACATATACAAACATATTTGATAAAATGTTTTTAGTGTCCTTTTGTTTCATTATGTATGGTTTTAAATTTTCATTTTTATAATAAGAGAAAAGGCCATTTTGACATATGTTGAACTATCTTTTTCAGAGCAATGTTATTTCATTAAAAATTTTTTTGAAGGGAAGATTTTACTTTAATTTTATATTATTAAATAGTGAGGCATGAGGTAAAATCGGTGGAAATGAGAACGTGAAGTAAATGCTCAGTGATTCCAATTGCATTCACCTCTCCAACATGGCATCTGCTGTTTAGGGAGGCGGGGTTATCCAGCTTCTGGATCTGGGTGTGGGCATGGGATAGTCAGATGGGAATGGCACCAGTTGGAGGAACATGGGTAAGAGAGGGTGAAAGGTAAAGTGCTATCTCTGAGGTAGGTTAGGGTCTGACATCTGGAAAGTTGGGGAAGGAAGGAGCCCTAAGGAGATATAGCCTAGGGCTTTTCCAGCTACTTTGACAGCCATTTGTTCTGTTACGAGATCCCGATGTCACTTGAACAAGACCCTCAGTGGGCCTCATCTTGGCTCCATTACTTTCTGAAAGCTTTTTCTTCATCTTCCGTTTTTTCTTGGGTTCAACACCAGATGGTGCCAGCAGACCATAATGTATCCAGCAAATTCTTCCTGTCATATCCAGCCTCGTCTGCCTTACCCAAAGCTTCATGGGCTTTTTCGGTGAAATTTCTCCTAATTCCCTTCCTCTGCCTAATCCTCCTATTTCTCTGTTGAAAACAATAGCAATGTCTTCCCTACCATAAAAATCCTTGTGTGCCTTTATAATCCAAACACACTAGATAACTGTACAATGACAATACTTGTCATTTGTCCTGTGACTATGCCTTAATATGTTAAAATTTATTTCTTTATACATAAAAATGTATTTCAAGTATAAATAACTGGTTCTGAGTTTGCCATTTTATATAATTTGGAGAGTTCCTGAAGTCAAGAATTTAGAACCATGGAACTCTACACTGAAAAGCCACCAGCCAGGGCCAGCACAT
The DNA here is from genome assembly GCF_000001405.40 of Homo sapiens. Taxonomy (NCBI): domain Eukaryota; kingdom Metazoa; phylum Chordata; class Mammalia; order Primates; family Hominidae; genus Homo; species Homo sapiens. The sequence goes on along the minus strand of NT_167248.2, from coordinate 492,653 downwards.
ACCCAGAAGTTATTGTTTTGGGAATGGTCTGTCAATTTGGGGTCCGGGGTTTAGTGGATGTGCATGTGGAAGAAGGAGAAAGAGAAAACAGTTTTTGAATAGCTAGAGCGTTCTGTGATTGAGCAAAATAACAGTGTGTTTGCTGGGCCTTTTACCTTAAGACCTTAGTGAGTTTCTTAGCCTAGATTCTCTAAAAATCAGAGCTTGAGGCAAAAAAGGAAATATTAATGTTTTATTTGGGAATGCAAATAGAGGGCAGCAAAGGTGAGAAAAAAAGGGAACTGAGAGAAGGGAAATATGAAGCAAGGTGAGGTGATACATTTTCACACTGGCTACCACTTCCTGAGAAATTTTAGAAGGCTGCCTCACGGATGCTTTAATCTGCTCTCGCCACTCTCCTTCAGACAAGATAGGAGGAGGAATCTTGCTTTGGGTGAAAGAAAAAAAAAAGAAAGTATTAAAGTATATCAAAGAAGAAGGAGCTGTGTCAAAGGCTGTTAGTATAGTAGGTCAAGTGAGATGAAGATTAAGAACTGACCATTGGATTTAGCAATAAGGAAGTCATCTGTGACACTAAGGGAGGAGTTTTGCTAGAGAAAAAGAAGGCAACAGCCACACTGGAATGGAAGCAAGAGAGAACAGTGGGAGACAACTTAGAGACAGAAAGCATAGAAAACTCATGAATAGTGCTTTGCTGAAGGCAGGAAGAAATGATTCAATAGCTGTAGGGAAAGGGAGGTCAAGAGAAGGCAGAAAGAGTTTTTTTCTGTAAGATGGATGTAATGGCAGCATGCTTGTATTCTATGGTAATGACCTATAGAGTATGCAAAATTACACAGCAGGAGAGTGAGGGTGAACTCAGAAACAAAGTCTTTAGGTCGGTGAGGGGATGGATCCAGGGCAGCAGAGGATTGATCAGCCTTTGCTAGAGCACAAACAGTTCATCAATAGGAACCAGACAGAAAGTAGAATACATGGATATAGAAGCAGGTGGGTGTGTTGAGGTAGTATTGAAATCTGACAGAAATTCCTTTCTGATTTCTCCAATTTTCTCTGAAGTTTTGAAAAGCAGAGGCATCAGTTGGGAGTGAAGAAAAGGAAAGGATGTGCGCTTGGATAGAGCAGAGAAGGTGTGAACAGACACCTGGGAAGAGGGAAAGTACAGAAATTATGAAATATAGAAAACTAACGATTTTCTTTTCTGGATTTTCTTTTTGTTTTGTTGCATTTCGTTTTTTTTCAAAGGTTTATCTGGTGATATGTTATGATCCTGGGGGAGGAAGAGCTGAGCTCTACATTTGGCTCAGTCTATCATGGTGTTTCCCCGTGGGTCTCTTTTTTTCCCACTATATCTCTAACTATTTTATCATTTTCATCAAATGACTTCTTAAATCAATTGAAATAGTCATTTATAAAAGTCATTTGTATATAAACATTCCATTGTTTTCATACTTGTGTTTTAACTATAGTAAATACAGCACTTGATATACAGAAATTTAGTTCCAAATGTCTTTGATTGTTCAACTGCCTTTATAAATCTCCCAGTATAACTTATTTAAAAAACAGAATATTGTACATGTACTATCTAGAAATTAAAATTATTTCTCTTCCCCAACATTTAAGTAATATATATTTAGAAAACACCATCCTAAGAGTTTTAATTCTATTAAGCTTCAATTTGAACTCCTGTATAACAATTTAACAGCAACGAAACTAGAATAGAGAGAATTTTTAATTACTTTAGGACAACAATGATATGGCTATTTTTCCTGGATGTTAAAAGTAGGTTCAGGGCCAGTTGCGGTGGCTCATATCTGTAATCCCAGCACTTGGGAGGCAGAGGCAGGAAGATCGCTTGAGCCCAGGAGTTCAAGACTAGCCTGGGCAAAATAGCAAGACTCCATCTCTACAAAAACATTAAAAAATAATAATAATAAGCAGGTCTATTTGAAGGTAGAATCAATGAGGAAGGTTATCTTCTTCTACTTTAAGATGTATAAATATGTAAATGATCTGAAGTTTTATTTCATTTTCTTGATATATATCAGTAATTACTTAATCTCTGTCCTGGAGATTTTGAAGCTAATTTTCATACTGTGCATTTTCTGGTCCAAAGATTCTTGATTTATTTTATATGCTTAATATGATTTTAAGTGTTCCTTTTATTCTTTTCAGATAATTCAGACTATATTTTGTTTGTGTCCTCTCCAAAGGTTTTACAAAAGCATAAATCAGATTATTGAGAGCTATCTAAGTAATATACATGTTCTGATTTGTTTATTACATCCACTCTAACATACCTGCATCTGTTTTATCTTCTCCAAGTGTCAGAGATTTGCTCTGACTTTTCTTGTTCTTTGGAACTTGTTCTAGGTGTTCTCAGTTCTGACTCACTCTAAGTTATTTCTGTTTATTGAGATATTTTCAATATGTTTATTTCTGTTGGCTTAATCTTTTATTTCATCCTTCAGTTTTTTGTAAAAGCTATTTTGGGTTTTCCCGAAGATGGACGTCTTCATCCAAACTCTACTTTATTGCTATGGCAAGTCTTCATTCATGTGATATAGTTTTAAAGTTATTTTGGCTTTATCCATTTGGTACTGATGGACTTTGACATATCTTCTAGTGACTGAATCCTTGTTTTAATGTCAGACACAAGTCATTATGAACATTTAGATACCTTTTTCTTCCATTTGTTTTCTAATGAGTCCAGTTTAAACTCAAAGAGTTAGATCTTTCAAGTTTTTAATTAACTAATTGCCTTTAAATTTGGAGTTCTTGATAAATTGTTCTCAAGACTAGACTCAATAAGAAAAAAATCTGTAACTCTTCCTATACTTTAAAAATCAGTTTAACCTAACCAAAATCTTCACTTTTTTTCTACCTAGAACAGAACTTCTTATGGAAAATACATTAATCCCTATTTGGATAAAGTCAGCTTTTAACTATTAAAAAAATTCAGATATAGCTGCACTTACCGCCATCTCCCATGTTAAGCCAGAGAGATCTGCTGTGAGTCTCATGTCTCCTGGTAACAGACATGGCCTCACTCAGCTTCTCCAGAATTCGTATAAAGTAAAACTTTATAGCAGTAGGCAGGTACTCTGTAACACCAGCTCTGCCTCAGGTTGCCAGGACCCTCCTATTCTACAACACACTGTAGAGAACACTGTGGAGTATTCTGCTCAGAACCTAAACCAGTGCCTGGCAACCAAGAGAGACCAGCAGTGTGCGTGGCGATAGGGGAGAACAGGCAGTGCTTCCAAAACATTTTCATTTCATAGCACACTTTAAGTTAGATGTACAAGGCTGACTTTCACCAGGGAAGATTGGCCACTGGGACTTTGTTCATCCAAGGCCACATCCATCAATCCCAAAATCTGGGAGGATAGATGTATTTTTACACATGTGCTATTCGGGAATCACTGACAAAGACTGTCAAATGAAAATGATGTGACTCAAAGGCTAAAGACTTTATTCAGGTGATGAGCATTGAGATCTCCTTACTGAAGTCAGATCAGAGTTTTTACAGGATAGAGGAAGTGGAGTACACATCCTCGTTACCTTGTTTTGGCTAAGGCAACAGCTTTCTATTTTAAAATCTCAGTTGGGGGCTTATACCTGCTTTCATGCCCCTTTCATGTCAATAATCATCAGAAAAGTATTTTTTGAGAATGATTTTTGCAAGCCTTGAGGTTTGTTAGTTAGTCAAGGTTCATGGGGTGGGGAGAGAGAGAGGAAGAAAGAAAGGAAAAGAGAGAGGAAGGGAGGAAAGAAAGAAAGAAAGAAGGAAAAAAGAATAAAAGAATAGGAAAGAATAAGAAAAGAGGACAAAGGTAGAAAGCAATGGGGAAACTGGAAACTTCTGTCTTGTTTGTTTTCATTGTTTTACAGAGTTTACATGCTCTCCTTCATGGTCAATATTTTCTTAATGTAAATATTTTTTTAGACCCATAAGGTTCTAATACTCCAAAAAAGTTAAACAAAGCCCTCCTTTTGGCAACCTATCCCTTTTTGTGTTTGGTCAGATCTCAAGTGTAGAAGAAGGAGAATGAAGGGTCTCATAATCAACTTACCACCTTGAATTTCAAATGTAACAACTCAAGGAATCAAAGGGGAACTTGAAAATCCTTCAAATATAAAAGATTTATAATCATGCTATAAATAACACCCAGCCCCTTACTCAGTCACTGTTCTTCATGTTTCCCAATTCTCAAGCAAAACGCAAAAACTTTCTATTCCCTGGCAGAGAGAGGAATAGAATACCATAATCAAACAGGCAGTTAATAATGAGTTGCTATAACAGAAGTTGCCATCCCTTGTTCTTCTCTATTTGTGAACATTCATGAGAACGGCTATTCCTATTCCATACAGTTCCAGTGAGTTCTTGACCATGAAACTGATCACAAGGGTGAACAAGTGATCCAATTTCAACAAGTCAGTTTTTCTTAGTGCTTTGAATCTTCAACAGATGGTATTGTCCAAATGGGGTTACCTGTTACTTCCAATCTGAATTCCCCAGGCCTACCCTGATTCATTTTACTCCAGTAACCTGATGGTCCTACTGGTTCTTTCATTTGGTGGGGTACTCACTGTATCTTTCCAAAATTTATTTTTCTTTTTTTAATTATAAAATTTTATCTTCTCCAATTGATTTTTCTTTTTTTTAAATTATTATTATACTTTTAGTTTTAGGGTACATGTGCACAATGTGCAGGTTTGTTACATATGTATACATGTGCCATGCTGGTGTGCTGCACCCATTAACTGTCATTTAGCATTAGGTATATCTACTAATGCTATCCCTCCCTTCTCCCCCCACCTCACAACAGTCCCCGGTGTGTGATCTTCCCCTTCCTGTGTCCATGTATTCTCATTGTTCAATTCTCACCTATGAGTGAGAACATGCAGTGTTTGGTTTTTTGTCCTTGCGATAGTTTGCTGAGAATGATGGTTTCCAGTTTCATCCATGTCCCTACAAAGGACATGAACTCATCATTTTTTATGGCTGCATAGTATCCCATGGTGTATATGTGCCACATTTTCTTAATCCAGTCTATCATTGTTGGACATTTGGGTTGGTTCCAAGTCTTTGCTATTGTTAATAGTGCCACAATAAACATACGTGTGCATGTGTCTTTATAGCAGCATGTTTTGTAATCCTTTGGGTATATACCCAGTAATGGGATGGCTGGGTCAAATGGTATTTCTAGTTCTAGATCCCTGAGGAATCGCCACACTGACTTCCACAATGGTTGAACCAAAATTTATTTTTCTTAAGATGGCCAGAGGTATTTTCTGTTTTTTACAACCAAAGGACCCTGATACATCTACCACATGTACACGATCATTTTTGAAGTATCAAAAACCAATACATTGAACCCTCTTAAAAACAGTAAAATATTTATGAATGCAGAAAACCTTCTGAGATTCTGATGTTCAGAATTATGAACCTAGTATTGGATGCTAAATAGAACTGTTTTAATAGTGGTAAGAATTGGAATATTATGGATTATCTGAGCTCCTCCTTGTCATAGAGGTGGATCCTGAGTTTTTGGGGACACAGAACTTGTTCACTTTGGTTAGATATCACATAAATTCTAAAGCTCAATCTTTTTGGAAAAATCTGGACACATTTGAGAAAAAGAATACGTCAAGGCATTTTCAGTTCTATACACTTCATTCTCTTACTTTCTTTGTTGAGTCAGGAGAGGACGCTCACTAATACGCAGAGACAAGGGCAGACAGCAAGATCTAGTAGAGGGTAAGAAACAAAAGATACTGCTTCAGGTCCAATGCCCTATGCTCCTTTATTTCCTTAAAGGCACAGGGAGGTCTAGTGCTGGAAAGAGACCCAGAGAGATATATAGATACTGCTACAATAACAGTAATGGAGAGAAACAAAGCAGTAGAGAGACAAAAAGAGACAGAGAAGCAGAGAAACAAAGAGAAACAGATGAAGAGCTTATAGATAAAGGCTGTATGGATAAAGAGCATATGGATAAAATCTGTTTCTCTGCAGAGAAACAGATTTAGAGACATAGGGAGAGAATCTCAGAGAAAGACAAGAGAGTCTCTCCTGCTTAAATAGCTGCAGTGCTCCTCTGTTACTGTTAAAGTCCAAATACAACCCACAAGACCACACCAACCTCTCTAGGCTGTTAATAATACTGTTCCCCCGATTGCCACCCTATAGTCAAACCAGTTTCTTAGAGTCTCTAAGTCACCACTGCCTTCCACATATTTTCTTGCATACACTAAGAGATCAATAAAAATATTTTGAATGAATGGCATATTATCTTGAAGCTGATGAGAAGGCATTGAAGGATGACTACTTTCTTCTCTCTGCCACAGGCTACAATCTACATGGAATATGCATACTCTGACAGTACAAGCATAGAATCAAAACCCAGGTCTCTGATCCACAGAAAGTTCACTGCTCTGTCTACCCCTAAGTAGAATCCTGCTATCCTTACCCACATCTTCCTCAAAGAGGCCACCCTTCTGCTGCCCACCACCTCTCCCCTCTCTTACCCAATGCAGTCACATCCATGTTCATACAGAAGTTAAGGTGTGTATGTAAGGGGTAAAGGTCAGTAGCCTGGCTGAGAAGCCAGTATGTATCTGTTAAGAAATTAGAAATTAGTTTCCTGTCTATTAATAAATTAGTATCTAAGTTAATTAAGAAATCAGATCTCACCAAGAGTGTAAAAGCTGTTTCCTATTTCTCCAAAGCCTTGCTAGCATCTATTATTTCTTGACTTTTTAATAATGGCCATTCTGACTGGTGTGAGATGTTATCTCATTCTGGTTTTGATTTGCATTTCTCTAATAATCAGTGATGCTCCTTATAGATTCTGGATATTAGACCTTTGTCAGATGGATAGATTGCAAAAATTTTCTCCCATTTTATAGGATGCCTGAGTTCAACCATTGTGTAAGACAGTGTGGCAATTCCTCAAAGACCTAGAACCAGAAATACCATTTGACCCAGCAATCCCATTACTGGGTTTATACCCAAAGGAATATAAATCATTTTATTATAAAGATACATGCACACATATGTACTTTGCAGCACTATTCACAATAGCAAAGGCATGGAATCAACCCCAATGCCTATCAATGATAGACTGGATAAAGAAAATGTGGTACATATACACCACTGAGTACTACACAGCCATGAAAAGGAACAAGATCACATCCTTTGCAGAGACATGGATGGAGCTGGAAGCCATCATTCTCAGCAAACTAACACACGAACAGAAGACCAAACACTGCATGTTCTCACTTATAAGTGGGAGCTGAACAATGAAAACACATGGACACAGGGAGGGGAACCACACACACTGGGACCTGTCGGGGATAGGTGGGAAGAGCATCAGGATAAATAGCTAATGCATGTGGGGCTTAATACCTACGTGGTGGGTTAATAGGTGCAGCAAACCACCATGACATACATTTACCTATGTAACAAACCTGCACGTCCTGCAAATGCATCCCGGAACTTAATATTAAATTAAATTTTAAAAAAAGAAATTAGAGGCTGGGCGTGGTGGCTCATGCCTGTAATCCCAGCACTTTGGGAGGCTGAGGAGGGTAGATCATGAGGTCAGGAGTTCAAGACCAGCCTGGCCAAGATGGTGAAATCCCGTCTCTACTAAAACTACAAAAATTAGCCAGGTGCAGTGGCAGGCACCTCTAATCCCAGCTACTCAGGAGGCTGAGGCAGGAGAATTGCTTGAACCCAGGCAGCAGAGGTTACAGTGAGCTGAGATGGCACCACTGCACTCCAGCCTGACCGACAGAGTGAGATTCCATCTAAAAAAAAAAAAATTAGATCTCCAGAAACAACTCAGTTAGGTCACCTTAGGTGGCTCATGATCTCTTGTGCTGCTACCAATTCTGTCAACTGCTCTTGATCTTAACTACAGACCCAACTCTGCAAATTGCTGGAGAGAAAAGCCTCCTGTCTTCCCAGGATCATTCAAATTTTCTATAATTTAGATACAAATCCAACCCCCAGAGAGCTGGTTCACAAGATCCATAAAGAAATGCAAACTAATTTTTAAAAGAAAAATATATAATCCATTGCTTATTGTAATCTGTAATAGCTAAAATGAAATTAAAAGAGAATGCCAAAGCAGACCTTAATGCTAGAATAAGCTCAGATTTTGATGAGTGTGAACTCAGACCACTAACCTCAAAACCACCCCTCAAGAGAAAAATTATGTTGGGAACAAGATAAATTATCTCTACAACGTCTGATCCAAGAGGGCAGTTAACATGAGAGAAGGTATATTAGTCCATTCTCATGCTGCTAATAAAGACGTACCTGAGACTGGGTAATTTATAAAGGAAAGAAGTTTAATTGACTCACAGTTCCGCAAGGCTGGGGAGGCTTCAGGAAACTTACAATTATGGCAGAAAGGGAAGCAAACATATCCTTCTTCAGATGGCAGCAGAAGAGAGAAAAAGGGCAAAAGGGGAAAAACTCTTTATAAAATCATCAGATCTTGTGAGAACTCACTCACTATCATGAGAACAGCAGCATGGGGAGTAACCACTCCTATGATTCAACCTCTCACTAGGTCCCTACCAAGACACATGGGGATTATGGGAACTACAATTCAAGATTAGATTTAGGTGGAGACAAGGCCAAACCCTATCATTCTGTGCCTGGCCCCTCCCAAGTCTCATGTCCTCACATTTCAAAACACAATTATGCCCTTCCAACAAGTCCCTCAAAGCCTTAACTAATTCCAGCATTAACTCAAAGTCCAAGTCCAAAGTCTCATCTGAGACAAGGCAAGTCCCTTCTGGTTATAAGCCTGTAAAATCAAAAGCAAGTTAGTTACTTCCTAGATACAATGGGAGTACAGCATTGGGTAAATACACCCATTCCAGATGGGAGAAATTGGCCAAAACAAAGGTGTTGCAGGACCCATGCATGTCCGAAATCCAGCAGGGCAGTCAATTCTTAAAGCTCATAAATGATCTCTTTTGACTCCATGTCTCAAATCTAGGTCAAGCTGATGCAAGAGGTGGGCTCCCATGGCCTTGGGCAACTCCATCCTTGTGGCTTTGCTCCCCTCCTGGCTGCTTTCACAGGCTGGCATTGAGTGTCTCCAGCTTTTCCAGGCACACAGTGCAAGCTGTCAGTGGGTCTATCATTCTGGAGTCTGGAGGATGGTGACCCTCTTCTCACAGCTCCACCAGGCAGTGCCCCAGTGGGTACTCTGTGTAAGGGCTCCAACACCACATTTTTCTTCTGCACTGCCCTAGCAGAGATTCTCCATGAGGGCTCTTGCCAACCCAGCAAACTTCTTCCTGGACATCCAGGCACATCAATACATCCTCTGAAATCTAGGCGGAGGTTCTCAAAGCTCAGTTCTTGTCTTCTGCACACCCACAGGACCAACACCATGTGGAAGCTGCCAATGCTTGGGGCTTGCACTCTCTGAAGCGGTCTGTACCTTGGCCTCTTTTAGCCAAGGATGGAGCTGAAGCAGATAAGACACCAGGCACCATGTCCCAAGGCTGCATAGAGCAGGGGGGCTCTGGGCTTGGCCCAGGAAACTGTTTCTCCCTCCTAGGCCTCTGGGCCTGTGATGGGAGGGGCTGCTGTGAAGACCTCTGACATGCCCTGGAGACATTTTCCCCATTGTCTTGGTGATTAACATTTGGCTCCTTCTTACTTATGCAAATTTCTGCAGCCTGCTTGAATTTCTCCTCAGAAAATGGGTTTTTATTTTCTATCACATTGTCACTGTCTCTGAACAGGAGTGAACTGAGGGGGAAGCACTTGCTAGACCAGTGTTGTTAGCTGCAATCTGAAGCAACACAGTGGCTGAACCTAATATTCCTTCCAAAATTGAAAAAGTTTGGTTGTAAATGGAGAAGACAAATAATAGCTAAGAGTAAAGCAATAAACAAATGGGTTTTGTAATGAGGCAAATCTAATATTATATCAATACTGTGAAAGAGTCTAAGAGCAAGAGATGATATTGTTATAAGTTCCACGATGTTGATTATTTTATATGTTTTATCTACTATTACATAACTACCATCTGAAACATAATAGGTATATAATAGGAAAGCCATAAATATCTATAAAGTGAAAGAATAATTGGGTCTGATAAAAAGATAGCCATTTTGTTACAATAAGGCCTCAGAATGAAGAAAAACACAGAAGTCTATTCCTATAACTGGGGGCCCAGAATATCAAGGCTCAAACTGAGAAACTTGCACACACACTCATCATAGTATCAGCACCAGAGAGCAGTAAATGTGGACTTTGGCATGGCAAACACTTTGCATTGGATAGTGAAAGTCACATTACAGGTCAACAGTGGTCATGCTGAGACAGAGAGACAGAAGCAATTAAAACCAAGACCTGCCATATTACAGTATAGGGGTACATATAAGTTGATCAAGAAGTTTCTGTCTCAAAACTTTAGAAATCTTGTTGGGACTGAAAGCACTGGTGGAGCTTGTAGGAAAATAGAACAAAAAAAGAACGAAATAGAAAGGCATGAAACGTACTACTTAGTATTTTATTTTGCAAGTAATGTGTTTCTTGTGTCTTCTCCTCCTCCCCCATTCAATTGCATTGTGTCCTTTTCAAGACAATAGCTATTAAATATATTAATTTTTATACCATACTGTGTCTAAATCCACAATATGAAGAATTTAAGGGCCCAATTGATTGATGAAGGAAACTGAAATCTCAACCTGAACAGAATGCAGCTCTTTCTCTCCTACTTTTGGCTTAGGAGGTGTATCTCCAGCTTTTTGTGATGAGGTTGTTCTCTATTCTTAGGTTAAGCAAAGGTAAACATATGTTAACCTTGTTAGTTATTCTGGGAATCCCAGGTCCTCCTCCCCAATCTTATTAGTGCTCCCTTTACCTCCTTGTTCCTTAGAGTGTAGATGAGGGGATTAAGAGTTGGGGTTACTACAGTGTAGAAAAGAGTGAGAAATTTGCCCCATTCATGAGGATAGTGATTTTTTGGTTGAAGGTAGACACCTGTGACAGTGCCATAAAAGAGAGAAACCACAAGAAGGTGAGAGATGCAGGTGCCAAATGCTTTCTTCTGTCCTGCAGTTGACTTAATTCTCAGCACAGCCTTAGCAATAGCACCAGAAGAGGAAAGGATAATGATCAAGGGCATCACCAGGAGGACAACACTGGCGATAGACATCTGAATTTCACTGTAGGTAGTATCAGTACTGGAGAGCTGAATCAGAGCTGGGACTTCACAAACAACATCATCCACCATCCGCTGGGAGCAGAAGGGTAACCGGAGGGTGGCAGGGGACTGGATCAGAGACTGGGCCAAGCCAGTCCCCCATGCCAAGATAGCCAGCTGCAGACAAAGTTTTGGGTGCATGATCATGGTATTTTGCAGTGGATGACACACTGCTACATAACAATCCACAGCCATGACAACAAGAAGGACATATTCCGTGGCCCCAAGCCACAAAAAAACATAGAGTTGAATGGCACAGCCAATGTAGCTGATGGTCTTTTCTGGGCCCCAGAAGTTAATCAACATCTGTGGAACACAGCTGCTGGTCAAACAGAGGTCTACCAAGGAAAGGTTGGAAAGAAAGAAATACATAGGGATGTGGAGTTTTGGATCCTTCAAGGACACAAGAACTATGACCATATTTCCTGCAAGAGTCAAAAAATAAAAAATAAAAATGATCCAAAAAGTATCTTCTCCAAATGTGGCTTGTTAGAGAAGCCCAGAAGGATGAAATCACTGTGGCTGTCATTGCAAATTATAATCATAGCTACTGGGGCAAATGCCTCTCTGGGGAACGGTTCAAAAGTAGTTCCTCAAAAGCCTGTGATGGTTCCAGTACAGACAGGAAGACGGGTGGTATATGACTTGTTTGATTCCTTTCTACTCAAGGATAAGATTTTCACCAGCTGTATTTTGGGAAAAAATACAAGATTTAGTGAAGTGCTTTAATCTTTGATATTCATCATTCACTCTCTCTCTTCCTCTTTTACATCTTCCTCATATTTTGTCTCTGATTAAAATTGTTCATTATAAATATTATATAAAATACATGTAAGCACCTGCTAGTGAAAATCACTTTGCTAAATATTAGATGTGTTTCATCTGTGCTCTCAAAGAGTATACATTTACCACATTTATTACATAGTTCTAATCACTGCCTATTAGCTTTATAACTTTCTCTATTTCTTTTGTTCTCTTATTTCTCTGTGACCTTGTATCTTGATTTATTTCACTCTCTGTCTCCCATGTTTCTCTCTTTTTTGCTTCCCCTCTTCTCTCCCTGGATCTTCTCCCTTTATCTTCTCTTTTTTCTCTCTCATTCTCCTCTTCTCCATTCCTCCTTTTCACTCTGTCTGTTATTGATGAGCTTGAATTCTCCCTCAGCCACCTTCATGCTGTGTGATGTTAGGAAAAGTAGTTAACATTTTTGTTCTTACTTTAGTTCTTTCCTTAGATTTTGTATTTGGAAAATGAGCAAAATTAAAAACCTACATATGCTTGTTGGAGAGATTAAATGTGCAAATGTGGGAAATACTAAAAAGTGTTCTTGGCACAAAGTAACTGTTCAATGTAAGTTAGCAATAATTATCATGATGATGAAACTGTTCAATGGATTGTTCCAGAAACCAAAATTTATTACCAAAGTTTTGCAGAGCATGAGTAAAAATAACATCTAGAAAAAAGAAACATTATATTTCTACATGACCTTCTTTGATGAAGAATGATAAAGTACATTAAAGAAAACCAAAAGCTTGAAATTAGATGAAAATATTTAAAATCATTAACAATAATAACTGTGTCAAATAGATCACTCAAGCCATAATTCTAAGAAAAATTATGACATAATCTGATATTTACTATTACATCAACATACATTGTGGTGAATTCTCAATCACACTTTAATGCAGTTTGAGCAACATGATGGTATATCATGCAATTACATATGTAAAGTTTTTACATCAATATATGCTTTTGCTTTTACAAAGCTTGCTGGAGGTTATTTTCTGAATATCCTAGCCCTGTTGTCTCCTATCTACCAACCATATTCTTACCCACCTATGATAAATCACATTTAACTTTATCAACACACTAGAAGCAAATTCATTTGAAGTTCTCTCAATCAGTAATTCTCATGCTTAAAGGGTATTAATCTACTGGTAAACCCTCAAGTACAATGTCCCAGGGCATTAAGATGCACTGACCCTCATGGCTTAAATTTCACCATAATTTTACTCATGTTTGTCTTTACTATGCTGTGCATTCTAGAAAATCTATATATTCTCTGTTTTGTGTGTGTGTTATTTTTCCTTTATTTTATTTAGAATTTTTCAAATTAGTGATGAAATGTTACCACTTTGGTTGTGAATTTGAGTTTGATATTATATTAAAGTAGAAGAGTAGTTTGATGTTTTAAAGAATCTCAGTCTTGTAGATTTTTCCATGTTCAGAATCAACCTGCCTCTTATCCCACCCTTCGATTTTCATCCACTTCATAACCACTAACTACTGGTTTCGTTTTTTGTCTATTCAGATTGCTTTTCCTTTCCCCATTTTCTTTCTTGTATATTATCACCTGCAGGTCTCTATCTAGCTATTTTTATATATGTATGCATCCATATGTCTTATCTCTTCCAGTTCCTTTTAAATTACTAATCATTGAAGTAGATGCTTTTTTTTTTCCCCCTGGATCAACTATTTGTAAAAGGTCCTTGGTTAGGGGAGACAGTCTTAGACTAGATGGTTTTTACTATGCAAAATTCAAGAATACTCTTAATCTCTGCTTCTCTTGAGATTATCTTCTTCCTGCAAATATAGTTTTCCCTGTGATTTTATTTTAGTTGGCCTCCTCTGCTTTTCAGAACACTATCTGGGGGAGTTCATGGTAAAAGCCAGCACACCTCCATTCCTATGGTTGTAAATGTAAAATACAGCATTTCTATCTCACCTTCTAAAGTAGATGCCTCTAGTACCAGTGTATCACATCTCTTCAGCCCAGCTCTAATTTCAGCAGAGCTGCAAGGGACAGTTGTGTGTGAACTCAGATTATCTCACACATATTGACAGTGACCTACCTCAAGTATGCTGTATAGGGCTTCCCTTGGCCCCAAGGCTTGTCTGACACCATGGGAGCCCATTTGGCATATAGACAAGTGCTGCCTAGAAGTACAAAATGCTTAATGACCCTAGGGGAAATCCTCCAACAATGAAGAATTTTAACTAGGAATAAATGGTCCAGCAGCTCTCCCTTCAGGCAAAAACATCCTGTGTGCTTTTCAGAAGGCCTTTAGAGAACTGAGCTCTCATTACACACAACCTGGCTAATGCATCCCTAAATTAACTTTCTTTCTTAAATGTTTCACTCTTCTTGTTCCCTGTATACATATAATACATATGTATTATATATTATACATGTATTTTATATATTACATATATAATGTATATATTTTATATATAGATATATATATAGAGAGAGAGATGAGAATGGAGTTTCCCAGGAAGCCGACTCAGGGATGGAGATCAGCATTTAGAAAGTTTACTAGGGAACATTTTTTGGATCAACATCTTTCAAAGGAAAGGGTGGGTAGCATGATTGAGGAAAGGAAGTAATGCAAACTACCTACTTTGGAAGTTTGTAATGCAAACTACTAAAGTTTCACTGAACCCTGTAGGAAGTTCTCAATATGAGATGACAATTCATTGATGTTCTGAGCTGAGGCCAACGGCAAGCCTTAAATCTCCTTGTTGGTCAGTGTTGAATGCAGATTACATGGAAAAGGGCCATATGTTTAGATGAAGCAACTCTGTTTAGCTGAGGCAACCCAGAAAGAAGGATCTCAGCTGAGCTCTATCTACCTGTAGCACATCTAGCAGCTGAAGTAATAATGCCTTCATTCTGAAAGTGTTATCTGAGTAAAGCATTATAACTTCCAACACTGTCTATTCCTTTAATTTCAGATCTACTCCTTTGTATAAGATCGGGTGTGGGGTGGGGGAGGGGGCAGGGATAGCATTAGGAGATATACCTAATGTAAATGACGAGTTAATGGGTGCAGCACACCAACATGGCACATGTATACACATGTAACAAACCTGCACGTTGTGCACATGTACCCTAGAACTTAAAGTATAAAAAAATTAATTAATTAATTGATTAAAAAAGATCTGGGAAAAGCTCTTACAGGGCTATAGTGGGCCTCTGTATCTGGAGGAAACTTAGAAGAGGACCACCACTGCGGCTGGTCTTAAGTCCTACAAACTATGGTCACCATCTCCTTCTTACTATTCATTCTGTGTTGCTCTCACCCTTATCTGGCACCTCTCCTGCTCTCAGTGGTTTACCTGGTGTCATGATCCGGAAGTGTCTGAGCCCCTGATCACTATGGCTTTTTTTAGTTAATCTCATTGCCTTTGGTCATTTACCATCATAATTAAACAAAGTATACACTTCCTAGTGTACCTTTTGTACCCCCTAGTGGGAATATTTCCCTTTAGAGAGCTAGAACCTCTAAACTCACAGAGCTTATAATTGTGGAGAAAAAAAACACAAATTTCTCAAATGAGTTACTGGTAGGGATTCTAAGAAGGGCTTTCACCTTTTGGTTTCTAAACCATGCATTCTTCCTAGTGAGGACACAGCACCATAGAAAGATAATTCATTTAAAGTACTGGGTCTTGAAGGATGACATTTCATCTGAGCTGGAATTTCAGGTGTAGCTTCAACAGATCCCTCCATGACTCTAATAGATCACTTATGATAGTGCAATATGTGATATGGCCAATGGATTCCATGGTCATAAGTCCACTCCTACACTTTCTTTGCCATTAAGTCGGCCCTTTTTTCTGATACAATGGTATGTGGGATCTCCTGCTGCTGCGTCAAACATCCTATAAGCCTTTAGACAGTCATGCTGGCTGAGAACTTATGTTCAGGAATAGAAACCCATGCCTGGAGTATGTGTATCTATTCCTACCAAAAAAAATTGCTACATTCAAAGTAGAAAAAGTCCAGTGTCATCAACTTGACATTAAATAACTGGTTGATCTTTTGATGGGAAACTATTTTATCCAGTCATTGCATGGGACACTTATTGATGGAAGACTGGATGTTTGACCAGTGGCTATAATGCATGCTGTTAAACCCATGCATTGCTTCTATCCCTACTATCATGGTGGCTTCATTCATAAGCTCATTGCTCTAGCATTGCAGGTAGGATAATGAGGGCAAATGTCAGAAGCTCTTGACAATAACTGCTCGCCAAGTCACGTTTTCTACCTAGTTGCTTAATTCATTTTCTATGATGGATTCCATCTTGTAGTTTTAGCATGTAATACAAATAATGCAACACTTCATACCTTCACTCTTATATGTTTATGCATGTGCCTCTGTTCCAGACTTCTTTTTTCCAAGTGTTTCTATCTTTTTCTTTCCAGCCACCTGAAAAGCCTCCTAAGCCATTTATCACTACCTATGAGTTATACATATTCTAACTTCAAACTACTTCTCTTTCCACACAAAGTGAATGACTGGGTACCATCTGAAACTCTGTCCATTGGGAGGCGTTTTCCTCACTACTATTTTTCAAGATCACCGTAAGCGAGGCTATAATTTATCTTCATCCTTTTTGACTTGGACTCACATACCAAGCTGACCCATTAATGAACCAAGCTTGACATTTTTCTCCTCCATTAGAGTTGGAAGTGTTCTCTCTTGGAGGCGTAAGTGTGGTCTGAAGAAGAGATATTGATGCAAAAGTGGTGAATAGCATGAAGTCCTGGGCTACTTGCTCATACTGTTTGCCTCTGCCCTCTAGTCATGCTGTGGTCAATCCTGGATGTACTAATGCCGTGTTACAGTGATTGCTCTGTATCCACTCAACCTAATAACTTGATGGTTCAGACAGTCCCCAGCTCATATGGGTAGTTTTGCCTGCATGGTTATTTGTTGTTCCATGGTCAGATGTTATTTCTCTACCCAGAATTCAGTAAAACACCAGGGCTTTATTTTTGAAATGTATACAATCCTGTGCTGTAGATAGCAGAGTTTTATCAAAACCCTAAGAATTTTGTTATGATCTTCCCATAAACTTGCCATAAATTCCACCTCATTTATGGTGAAATTTAGACTTGCTATAGAGCCCATTCTTACCCTGAAGGCCATTCAAATACAGCACCTAGTGGATGAATTAGAACAGTACTCGATAGTGTCAAATATGCTTACTACAAAGTACAGAGAGGTCTGCCAGGCACTTTGCTTCTTTTTTATGATAGGAAATGCATAATGCAAAAATGTATCCTTTACTTTAGATAGAATGTCTCATAGTGCCCCAGACCAATAAACACTTAAAACTTTTATGCTTTAGGTCCCTGAATCTTTATGGAGTGCAACACTCACTCTCTGGATCACATGTGTCTTATCAAGGCTTTTAATGTATTGACCACTTCTTGTTCATATTGTCTGATACGCATGATGTGTTAGATATAGTTGGCCAGTGTGACGGCCTACAGAATATACAGCTAGTCCCGTTCTCTTCAGTATTTTATGATGGAAGATGAAAAACCTAGCATAGCTCTGGGACATGGTATAGTATTGTCAGCTCCAAGTGAGTGCAAACTCCCTGATCATGTTTCCTGATAAGGATGAAAAAGAAAACATTTACCAGATCAATGTATGCATACGGGGTACTCAGTAACATGCTAATATACTCTATCAAGGATAACATATCTCTTCCAGCAGATTCAATTGGGGCTACTACTTATTTCAATCTGTGGTAATTTGCTACTGTCATCCCAATATCTGTCTGATTTATTTCAGGGGTCTGACTGCTAATGCAAATGAAGATATGACAGGAAGTACCACTATTGTATACCTTAGGATTTAAAGGGGAATAGGGAAAATAAAAGCAACTTTACAACCCTGAGGATAATTTAGGATTCAACATTAAAATTGAAAAGATATAAGGAAAATCAAAAGAGGAGGCATATATATATATATATACACACACACATATGTATATCTCTTCAATGATGTTTGTGAGATTTATGCTTTTATAAGTTGTCTAAAATTACTTTTCTATTATAATTCAAGTCCAAACAATTCTATTCCTTTTAAAAGCAATTCGAAATATGTATTTGTTATATACTAACACTTCTAAAAATTTTTTTTCTTGAGACAGGGTCTTGCTTTGTTGCCCCAGCTGGAGTGCACTGGCACAATCTTGGCTCACTGTGACCTCCACCTCCCAGGCTCAAGCAATCCTCCCACCTCAGTCTTCAGAGTAGCTGACACTATAGGTATGCACCACCATGCCTGGCTAATTTTTTTTTTTTGCATTTTTAGTAGAAACAGGAGTTCATCATGTCACCCAGGCTGGTCTCAAACTCCTGAATTCAAGTAATCCTCCCACTTCAGCCTCCCAAAGTGCTAGGATTACAGTGTAAGCCACCTCACCCAGCCTATACTAATACTTTTAATTCACTGACATCATTTCTGATAAACAGTCTAAAAGAGATCACATATGGAAAGCACTTTATTCTGAATGATCTATAGTATAAGGTGACAAATTCAGAAAATATATTTAATTGTAGAAGAATGAGAAAGTATATATATGTACATATATAATGTATATATGAATTATTAATTTAAAAAAGAATGTTACATAGCTTCAAAAACTGCATATCAAGAAAATTTTATAAATTAGAAAATGATTGTTTTACATATGTCAGTTTACAATTTATAAAAATACATGATATGGCCGGGAGGTGGCTCACACTACAGGTGAGGTCCCAGCACTTTGGGAGGCCAAGGCAGGCAGATCATCTGAGGTCGGGAGTTCGAGACCAGCCTGACCAAGATGGAGAAACCCCGTCTCTACTAAAAATACAAAATTAGCCAGGCATGGTGGTGGGTGCCTGTAATCCCAGCTACTCAGGAGGCTGAGGCAGGAGAATTGCTTTAACCCAGGAGGCGGAGGTTGCAGTGAGCCGAGATCGTGCCATTACACTCCAGCATGTGCGAAAAGAGCAAGACTCCATCTCAAAACAAAAAAATGATACACAAAAGAAAAGTAAGGGGAAACAAATACATTAAAATACGAGCATGTGGCCAGGTGCCATGGCTCACACCTGTAATCCCAGCACTTTGAGAGGCCAAGGCAGGTGGATGGCCTGAACCCAGGAGTTGGAGACCAGCCTGGGCAATGTATTAAAACACCATCTCTACAAAAGATACAAAAATTAGCTGGGCTTGGTGGCGTGCACCTGTGGTACCAGCTACTCAGGCAGCTGAGGCGGGAGGATGACCTCAGCCTGGGAAGTCGAGGCTGCAGTGACCTGTGATCGCACCACTGCACTCCAGCCTGGGCCATGGGAGTGAGATCCTGTCTTAAAAACAAAACAAAACAAAACAAAACAAACAAACAATATATATCCAGGCTATATCCAGGCTGATACTAGATATTTAATTTAATTATAATTTTCTTTATTTCACTGAAAATCTTTGGTGAGCACTTATTAAGTTATACATTGCATAAATCTTCTTATTTTCAAAAACTATTCCAGTTGCAATCTCATTATTTCTACTTGTTCTGCTCCAGTGAATTAATGCTAACCTTAAACTTCAGTGTGTTAATTTATGTTAAATGACATCATATGATATAAATAATATTTTAACCACAGATCTTTGGGAGATTTAGTCCAAGCATATTCATCACAAAAAAATCAGTAAACAATAGAAATACCATTTTCCTATATACACCATCAAAAGACTCCCTATTTGACCCTGAGACCAAGTCCTACAAAACAGAATCCAAACTCCTAAGTATGGTTTGCAAAATTCCACCCAACTCCACTGCCTAGTCCCTGCCTAACCATGAACATTCTCACAATATGCTGCTAAGTGAAAAAGCAGGCTATAAAGCAATATGTACATCTTATGCTAAATGAATAAGCCAGACCTAAAAGGGCAAAAATTGTATGTTTCCAATAATATGAAATATCTGGAACATGCAAATTCATACAGACATAAGGTAGGTTGAAAGTTACTAGGGGATGGGGGAGGGGAATGGAGAGTTATCACTAAGGGTTAGAGTTTCTGTTTGGGATGACGAAAAAGTTTAGAAAATAGTGGCAAGATTTACACAATAGTATGAATATAATTAACACCATTAAATTGTACACTTAAAAATAGTTAAAATGGCAAATTTTATGTTATATATTACCACAATGTTATAAATTAGTAATGAAATATACCAAAAATCATTGACTTGTACACTTTAAATGGGTGAACTGTATTGTAAATAAATTATATCTCAATACAGCTATAAAATTTAAAAATGAAAAATAAAGAAATTTGTGGCTGTATGTTTATTTAGCCTTATGCTCTTCAAATTAATACATTCCAAACCTATTTTTCATAGTTCATGTTTTATAACTCTAATCTTCACCCTAGTTTTAGAATTTGTGAACTACCTATGTGTCAGTATTATGCCACCAGTGCAATTGGGAATAGAGTTAACTTATTGCCTCTGGGGACACAATGACCAATTAAACTTGAGGGACTCAGAATCCCTAAGGTTAAAATAAAGGACACAACATTGTGAGAATAGTAGGACTTTAATAAATACTGGCTGGTTTTATTAAAAGCCACAACCTTCTCTCTGTGACAGTGCAAATGTTACTAATGTCTATAAAATCAGCTTCTCATTGTGGAAATCCATTAGGAACCTGGCAAGGACAGCCCATGTCAGTCAAAAATATCCCGGTGACTGAAGACATTATCTGTAACACACTTTTACCTCATCTTAAGATTTTTACTTATATGTTCTTAAGGCAGTGCAAGATACATGATAATTTTATTCTCAATCTGTGGGCAAAAGGTAGTTGAGTCAGAATGGCAAAAGAGTTGAAAGCTCAAAACATCATTGCATGTATCAGTCTTTGCACCAGACTTCCTTGAAACACAACACAAAGAAAGGCATGGATATCTCTAGGACACTTAGAATAAAGGCGAGTGGTGTCTACCACAGAGAATTATGTTACCATGATTGGGAAGGGTCTTTCAAGATCATCTAACCTACATCATTACCTCTGGGTTGCATCATGTTAAGTAATCAGAATGTCCAATTTGTTTCCAGGGAACCTTGAAATAAATATCAAGTATTTTTAGTGATTCCAAAAATCCTTCTTATCCTTTGAAACTTTTGAATGAAAATTTGCTTATTATATCTCCACACATAAAAAAGTCAGTGGGAATTTTTTAATTGAAAAAGAATCAGTGGTATTTGAGGTTTCTTTTGATATATGCAGGATGCATAAATAAGAAAAGGTTTAAGATAACAGTGGAATCACCATTCTCTTGTCAAGGGATAAGTTTATTTACTGATAATGCAAAAAAAAAAAAAAAAGAATTGATAAATGAACTGGCACCAGTGCCATATAAAAGGTGAAGAGGAGTAGAGGCTGTGAAAATAATAGAATAAGAAGGAAGAGCTGCTGAGTCAATTACTGTTATCAGCTATGCCCTTCAGATAACCAAATATCTCCTACTATTGACTTGACTTTCACTTATGAGGAAACTATGTTCTCTGCACTATGCTAGAAACAAAGAAGTGACATATACATTTAATCATTTCATATCATAATATTATAAAATTACAATAAGCACTGGGATTACCAATAATAAATTATATCTCTGCTTTTTCATACACATGACAAGCTGAAATAATGACTCAATATTATGAGTAATGATTATTACTAATGATTAATGCTAATCATACTATTAATGATAACTGGCTTACATTCATTAGATCCTTCCTATGTTTCAGGCACTGTCCAAAATCTAGATGTGTATGCACTGGCTCATTGAAGTCTCACAATAATTCCCTTTTTTATAAAACAGGTTTTAAAAACAGCATGGTACTGGTACCAAAACAAATATATAGACCAATGGAACAGAACAGAGGCCTCAGAAATAACACCACACATCTACAACCATCTGATCTTCCATGAACCTGAAAAAAACAAGCAATGTGGAAAAGATTCCCTATTTAATAAATGGTGTTGGGAAAACTGGCTAGCCACATGCAGAAAACAGAAACTGGACCACTTCCTTACACTTTATACAAAAATTAACTCAAGATGGATTAAAGACTTAAACATAAAACCTAAAACCATAAAAGATTTAGAAGAAAACCTAGGCAATACCATTCAGGACATAGGCATGGACAAAGACTTCATGACTAAAACACCAAAAGCAATAGCAACAAAAGCCAAAATAGACAAATGGGATCTAATTAAACTAAAGAGCTTCTGCACAGCAAAAGAAACTATCATCAGAGTGAACAGGCAACCTACAGAATGGGAGAAAATTTTTGCAATCCATCCATCTGACAAAGGGCTAATATCCAGAGTCTACAAAGAACTTAAACAAATTTACAAGAAAAAAACAACCCCATCAAAAAGTGGGCAAAGGATATGAACAGACACTTCTCAAAAGAAGACATTTATGTAGCCAACAAACATGAAAAAAGCTCATCATCACTCATCATTAGAGAAACGCAAATCAAAACCACAATGAGATTCCATCATACGCCAGTTAGAATGGTGACCATTAAAAAGTCAGGAAACAACAGATGCTGGAGAGGATGTGGAGAAATAGGAATGCTTTTACATTGTTGGTGGGAGTGTAATTAATTCAACCATTGTGGAAGACAGGGTGGCAATTCCACAAGGATCTAGAACCAGATCCAGAAATATCATTTGACCCAGCAATCCCATTACTGGGTTTATACCCAAAGGATTATAAATCATTCTACTATAAACATGCATGTACATGTATGTTTACTGTGGCATTCCACAATGGTTGAATTAATTTACACTCCCACAAGGATCTAGAACCAGAAATATCAGCAAGCATGCCTGGCTGTGTGCAGTATCCAGGCTGGTAATGTAAGCTGAGCACAGGCTGCCAGGCTGAGTGGGCCAGTGGGCCTGAGCAAAACCCCAGCATAAGTGCCACTAGCCACAGAGGTTTTCAGCTGGTGAAGTGATAACCCAAGGATCCCGTAACATAACCATTAGAAAACATTGGACAAACCATGATTGAAGTGCATTCTGTAAGATACCTGAGCAGTACTCAGAATTATCAACATCATGAAAAACAAGATAACAGAGATTCAGGAAACTGAAACACATGACAACTAAAGGCAATGGAGTGTCCTGGATGGGATTCTGCAACAAAAAAAGGATGTTAAAGAAAATCTTGCTGAAATCCAAAGATAGTCTAGAGTTTTGGTAGTAGTAACATACCAATGTTAGTTTCTGAATTTTGAAAAATGTACCAGAGAAATGTAACATTAAGTGAAAGTGAAACTGGTTGAGGTGTATATGGGAATTCTTTGCCATCTTTGCAACTTTTCTGTAAAGCTAAAATTATGACAAAATAAAGCATGTATAAAAAATGTGTTACACAGATGGGAAGGGACAAGATGTCCAATTAGTTGCAGCCAGGAAGCACTGCTTTCACCGAGAGAGACCAAATTATTGAGTTAATCAACATAAATTGGTTGATTTAATCATCTCAGCCCAAAATCTCCTTAAGCTGATAAGCAAATTCAGCAAAGTCTCAGGATACAAAGTCAATGTGTGATCTTAGGAGAGAAAACACTGAGTGTATGGAGAAGCAAAGCTGAAGCTGAGGCTGTAGAGTCAGAAATCTGGAAACCCTGAAGTGGTACCTGAATGCCAGGGCTAGTTCCCAGCCCCAGATGGCTCCTGGGAAATTGGTGAGCCAGGGAACTGAGGGACAGCTCACTCTTGTCATGTACCTCTGGGATCCTAGCTATGAGAGACCCCATATCCCCCATAAATGTGTTAGCTGGCAGGGGTATCTCCCTGGGGAACAGGCAGAGACAGTACTTCAGACAGTGCAGAGCCTGGGAGCTTTTGTGTGCTGGGCAGCTTTGGTGGAGGGTAGCCATAGACACACATCCCTGAGAGCTTCCCATCTCCCTCTGCAAGGCTCTTGACTCAGCTGACTGTCAAGCCAAAGGAGAGCAGGGCTGGCTTCCCTATGGGACTAAGACACATCTGTTCTGCAAGCCCTCCTGCCTGCAGGCTCCTCTCAGGTCCTATGCCTAGCTGCCCTGGAGAAGCAGGTGCATTGTGCAGCTTGCACAGCCCAGCTGAATGCCTTGCTTCACCTGAGTACTTTCCCAGCAACCCAGAAGCATATCAGATCCCACAGTGCAGCCAGAGCCCAACCCTGAGCTGCAGGATGTCCTGGTGCTACCTGGGTTTCTAAGCACAGCTTGGGATTATCAAGCCAAGATATGTGACCCACACTAAGTTAGGTGAGTTAGCTTAATAAAAAAAAAAAAAAAGAAAGAAAAGAAAAAAATTCCATCCAATATCCCTGATGAACATAGAAGGAAAAATCCTTGAGAAAATACTAATCAAACAAATCCAGCAGCACATCAAAAAGTTAATACACCACAATCAAGAAGGCTCTATTTCTGGCATGCAAGATTGGTTGAACATCTGCAAATCTACAAATGTGATTCACCACATAAACAGAATTAAAAGGAAAAGCCATATGATCATCTCAATAGATGCTGAAAAAGCTTTTGGTAAAATCCAATATCTCCCAACATACTGCAGTATGTTTACTGTGGCAGGTGTGTATGAGGGAGCAAGTGTGGGGTCCAGCTACTGCACACAGCCAGGCATGCTTGCTGCAGCAGGGCAGGCAGTTCCAGGCACTGACAGGGGTGCCATCTCCCTGCAAGTCTGCGGCTGGACCAGGTGTACTGCAAGCAGCTTCCGCACCAGGAACCACAGAACCACCCAAAAGGGTGTCACAGCCCTGGCTCAGGGAGCTCCTAGGTCTGGGCTCCCCAAAGAGTTGCATCTCTTATCTCCTTTATGTCAACCACAATGAGGTGAGGAAAGGGCATGTTTCAGCCCTGTTTGTGTGACAGCTCTTTCAGCCATGCCATTCAGTGGGTCCCAAGTTCTTGTCCCACACTCACGAGGTATGTGGATAAGTGGAGGGTGAGTAAGGTGAAGAGGAGCTTTATTGAACAATAGAACAGCTGAGAGGAAACCCGCTCCTCTCCATAGCCAGGGTGTCCTAACGAGTGTTCAGCTCTCCGCAGAGAGGAGACCCTGGAGTGGGTAGCTCCTCTCCTCAGACAGGTCATCCCACAGAGTGTTCAGGTCTCAGCAGAAAAGAGACCCTAGGGTAGGTAATTCCTCTCTGCAGCTGGTTGTCCTGACATCTTTTTGTGTCTGGCTGAGTCTGGGAATTTTTATGGACTTCAGAGGAAAGGAAGTGCTTGCTGATTGGTCCTTGGGCAGCCACGGGCAGGCTTGGAAAAAGCATCGTAAGTCCCCACTCCAGTCTGCGAGGCTGGCAGCCCGTCTCCCAGGCTTCAATCCTTCCCTGAGTTGAAGGTGGGGCCTCACCGGGGACCCGTCCCTTTCTGCTCAGGAGCCTGTGGGCCTCCTGCCACTGTTGACGGTGCCCAGGCTGTTCCTGCCAAGAGGCACCTGCAGGCCAGCGCCAAGCTGCCCTCAGCAGCACCCCCTCCAGCCTCCCTCCCTTGCTTACTGGTGCCCAAAGCCCAGAGGGGGCTGAGGTGGCAGAAGACTGGCATGTCAGTGCTGCCCCAAGTGTGGGCACACCAGGCCAGGTTGCAATAGCACCTGGGCCTGGCCTCAACCACGCTCCGAGATCAGAGCACGCACCAGGAGCAGGGAGAGATCAGACACCAGGAGCAGGCACCTCCAAGCCTGCGGGGGCAAAAAGGGCTTTCCCAGGCCCCCAAGAGTGCAGAGATGCCCGGGTCTGCCGCTGCAGCTTGGGCATCTGCAGCTGCGCCCAGGAGGGCAGGGCTCTTACTCCTGGCACCCAAGAACACAGGGATGCCCAGGTTTGTAGACACAGCTTGAGCAGCTGCAGCTGCACCAGGGAGGGTGGGGCTTCTGCCTGCTCCTGAACCCCAAGCGCACAGGGATGTCCTGTCCACAGCCGCTGCTGGGCAACTGCAGCTGAGCCTGGGGAGCACAAGGCTCTTGCCCTGTCAACTCATAAGGGGTTGGGGCTTCCGCCTGTTCCCGGCTCCAGGGGCTCCACGGAGCGCACAGCCACACCTGCATCTCCCCTACTACAGCCGGCATCACAGTCCAGATGGGTTTCAGCTGCCATCAATTACACTGGGCCTTTGAATTTTTGCAGAGGAGACCACAGAGGTAAAGTGCCCTTTTTATCCCATCAGAGCAGGGGTTACATAATATCTACATGGCATCACTGATGGTGCTGACTTTAATCACTTGGTTAAGGTAGTGTTTTCACTAAATAAAACTGAAACTTACAATTGTTACCTGTCCATACTCTATTCCTTGGAAGACAGTCACTGAGTCCAGCCTACACTTAACAAAGGAGATCATGAGCTCCACATCTGAAAGTGGGGACTATTAATAGACTAGTAAGGAAGATTTCTCCCTTCTTCTCATTTATGTATTTATTCAATCATTTATTTATAAGAGTATGGACTCATACGTTTTATACTTCAGGTTATAATCCAGTGATATGTTATTTATTTTGTTGTTGAAATTGCTCCAGCTTTACCCATTGAGAGCTCTTTCAAGTTAGCTGCTGGGTCCCTTGGACAGGTCTTCATCCTTTTGTTATCCTTTTCTCTTCAGGGCCCCTCCCTGATTTCTGGTATTACTGGTTCTTCTCCAGGCTTCTCTTATATATTTCTTCACCAGGCTTAGAAATATCTTATAATCAGACATTTCTCCAACGATCTCTGTTTCTTTTCACTGGAAAATGGCATTAGAAAACATTATCTGAGTGTGACATGTGCACATTGCTATGAGGGTAACATTGTTTCTAGGCTATTTCAGCAGAAAGGGCTAGGTAATGTGTGTCTACACAGTAAGCCCTGAATACACACATATCTGTCGTTGTTTCCTTATTTGTCCATCTGTGTGTGTCCATGTGCATTTGGGCTTGTGTTTAAACATGAGGTCATAGTGATAACTCTGACTCTAACACAGTCCCTAATGGTCATTCTGGCCTTCCTTTCTTGCTTCTCTGTAACTTCTCTTACCAACAGGGAGAAACCTGGATGCCACTGTTCATATTTTAATATTTTTGTTCAACTGGTATGCATGTGAAGCAATTACAGAATTAGCTGAACCCGCATGAGAAACAAATTTACTATTCAGAATACCATATTTATGCAAAGTTACTTTTGTCTACAGTCTGACATTTTTTAATCAAAACATTATTTCTCAAGGTAAGTTAGGCCACTTTTTACTTCTTCTCTACCCTTTTCAGTGTTGTTAGCTTACATATTTATATAAAGTGAGGTTGATTTGCCACTGTCATACCATTCTAGGATCTTCCCACATCTTGGTGATATTTTTGCTTGTTTATTTGCATGCATTTGAGTGCAATTTTGTGATACACTACTTAGGGATTAATAAATCATGGACTTGTGTATTACTAGTGCAGCACCATACAAAACAACTCCATCATTTAAAAATTCCCCTGTGTGTCTTCTTTGTAATAAACTAATCTCCCTTACACTAAGCCCTGGATACCACTGATGTGTTTCCATCCCAGTGGGTTTTTTTTCCCCAGATGTCTTATGAATGAAATCATACAATATTCAGACTTTGAAGTCTGGCTTCATTCATTTAGTAAAATACCCTTAACATATATTCATGTTGTTGCATGTATCAGTAGCTCATTCCATCCCATTGATCAATAGTATTCATTGATCAATCAACTTCCACAAAATCATAGATCATTGTGTGGAAATACCCAAGATTATCTTTCCCCTGTTGAAGGGCATGGGTTGCTTACAGTTTGGAGTAATTATGAATGAAACTGATATAAACATTTGCATGCAGATTTTTACACGGACCTAAGTTTTAATTCACTAGGGTAAATACTTAGGAATGTGATTGTTAAGTCATATGGCAAGACTATATTAAACTTTATAAAAATTGCCAAATAGTCAAAGTGGTTGCACCACTTTGCATTTCTACCAGCAATCAAAGAGAGTTTCCCTCACTTTGCATTCTTGCTAGTATTTATTATTTTCAGTGCTTTTGTTTCAGCAACAAAAAAAAATTGTGAGAATTTATTTTTAATTTTGTTATATAAGTACTTTCATAATACTCCAGTTTTGTGTCTTGGTTTACAAAGCCTTAATATTGACTACGTAGCTTTTTATAGGAAAAAATACTGGTATCTGGACTTTCATATAGATTTTCTTAAATCAGTGAGATTTCCATCAGTCAACTTAACTGTAAATCAACTATTACAAGGTTTTTTAAATGTGGGAAATCATGTCTTTGATAAGAACAGGTCAGTTTTTTCATTTTTTTCTCTAAGAATTTTTGTTTTGTGTGTGTGTGTATCTATCACTTAATGTGCATTTGAAAACTTTCTAATTAACTTTTTCTAATACAAATAATCTATGAAACTTTATTCCATTTTCTCAATACAGTTTAGAAATTACTTGAACATTTGGTTAAATGTTCTGAACCTTACTTTCAAATTACATTTTCTTACTAGACAAATGCTTAGACAGTGTGGCGATTCCTCAAGGATCTAGAACTAGAAATACCATTTGACCCAGCGATCCCATTACTGGGTATATACTCAAAGGATTATAAATCATTATACTATAAAGACACATGAACACGTATGTTTATTGTGGCACTCACAATAGCAAAGACTTGGAACCAACCCAAATGTCCATCAATAATACACTGGATAAAGAAAATGTGGCACATATACACAGTGGAATGCTATGCAGCCATAGAAAAGGATGAGTTCATGCCCTTTGCAGGGACATGGATGAAACTGGAAACCATCATTCTCAGCAAACTATCACAAGGACAGAAAACCAAACACTGCATGTTCTCATTTATAAGTGGGAGTTGAACAATGAGAACACTTGGACACAGGGTGGGGAACATCACACACCAGGGCCTGTCGGGGGGTGGGGGGCACTGGGGGAGGGATAGCATTAGGAGAAATACCTAATGTAAATGACGAGTTGATGGGTGCAGCAAATCAACATGGCACATGTATACCTATGTAACAAACCTGCACATTGTGCACATGTACCCCAGAACTTAAAGTATAATTTTAAAAAATGCTTAATTCATGCCGAATATGTTCAGTGTGATTTTTAAAGGCTTCAAGATTCAATGTTATTCATACAACCTAATTTCTATTTTATTTCTCTCTCCATGAAGAGTCTTGTAAGAGGCCAGGCACGGTGGCTCACACCTGTAATCCCAGCACTTTGGGAGGCCAAAGTGGGAGGGTCACTTGAGGTCAGGAGTTTGAGACCAGACTGGGCAACAGGGTGAAACACTGTCTCTACTAAAGATACAAGAATTAGCCAGAATTGGTGGTGCATGCTTGTAATCCCAGCTACTCGGGAAGCTGAGGTAGGAGAATCACTTGAAACCGGGAGATGGAGGTTGCAATGAGCTGAGATTGCACCACTGCACTCCAGCCTGGGCGACAGAGCAAGACTCCATCACAAAAAAGAAAAAAAAAAGTATTTTAAGAAGCATAAACAAATCAATCACCTTTGACTGAACATTGATTGGTACTTGTTCTGATTTGATCCAATTCTAAGTCCCAGCATCCATTTTATCTTCTCCAAGTATAGTAGGGAATATTCATCAACTGTTTACTCAGTTATTTGATTTGATTTCTTATCACTTAACACTTAATCCAAGGATATAAATATCCTTTTGCCCAGTGGTAAACTTGTCATCCAATCCTTGAGTTTCTTTTGCAAACACGTTAGGTTTTTCTCAAGATTGAAATGCTCATCCAAACCCAATTTTTTTTTTTTTTTTTTTGCTGTCTTAAGTTGTTTTTTTTCCTCTTCTGACATAGTTTTAAGGCTATTTTGGCATTAGCTTCTCACTATTTAAAAGACTTCAACACATCTTCCAGTAACGGAACCCATATTCTAAACCTAGCCATGAATGTAATTCATTCTGAACTTTAAGGTGTTCTTTTTTTTTTAAAGATGACATATAAATGGCCAATAATCATATGAACAAATGCTAATCATAAGAGAACTGCAAATTAAAACCACAGTGAGATATTATGTTATGCCAGTCAAAATGGCCATTATTAAATTCAGAAAAAAAAAATTTTGCCGAGGGTATAGAGAAAAGGATTACATACACTATTGGTGGGAATGTAAATTAGTACAACCTCTGTGGAAAACAGTATGGAGACTTTTCAAAGAACTAAAAATAGAGCTACCATTCGATCCAGCAATCCCATTACTGGATATCAAGCTAAAGGTAAAGAAATCATTATATCAAAAAGAAACCTATGTGTCTATGTATATCGCAGCACTATCCACAATAGCAAAGTAATAAAATCAGCCTGAGTGTCCATCAGTGGACTATTGGATTTCTAAAATGTGGTATACATATATACACACTTTAGAATACTACTTGGCCATAAAAAGACTGAAATCATGTCTTTTGCAGCAACGTGACTGTAACTGGAGGCCATTGGCTTAAGAGAACTCAGAAACAAAAAGCCAAATGCTACATATTATCAATTATAAGTGGGAGCTAAACAATGGGTACATGTGGATATAGAGTGAAATATAGGCATTGGAGACTCCAAAAGGTGGGAGGCTGGGAAAGGGTTGAGGGATGAAAGACTACCTACTGAGGACAATGTATTTTATTTGGATGATGGATACATTGAAAAATCAGACTTCACCACTATGCAATATATCCATGGAACACAACTGCACTTCTACATTGTAAATCTGTAAAAATTCGCATTTTTCAAAAACATTCCTTTTTTTCAAAGCATCTATTTTGAACTCAAATTTCCTATACACTTAGAGGATTTAATGCCTTGTTCTAAGGGCAAGACTCCATGAAAAATAATTTATACTCTTCATACTCGTTTTTTTTTTAAGAGACAAAGTTTCACTCCCATTGCCCAGGCTGTAGTACAATGGCGTGATCTCGGCTCACTGCAACCTCTGCCTCCCAGGTTCAAGGATTATCCTGCCTCGGCCTCCCAAGTAGCTGGGATTACAGGATCTGCCACCATGCCTGGCTAATTTTTTGTATTTTTAGTAGAGACGGAATTTCACCATGTTGGCCGGGCTGGTCTCAAACTCCTGACCTCAGGTGATCCACCCGCCTCAGCCTCCCAAAGCGCTGGGATTACAGGCATGAGCCACCACACCAAGCTCATATTCTTTTTTAATCAGCCTAATTTATTAAAACATTACATTTGTCTTCAACTACAGAAGAAACTTCTCTGGTAAACTCTTTTTTTTCTCTCTACATAAAGTGGGCTTTTATAATTACAAAATCCAAATAGAGCCGCACTTACCACCATCCCCCATGTTAAGCCATAGAACTCTGATGTGAGTCTCATGTCTCCTTGCAACATTGACGTGGCCTCAATCAGCTTCTCCAGGACCTCTATAAAGTAACACCTCATAGCAGTAAGCAGGTCCTCCATAGCACCAGATCTGCCTTTGGTTGCCAAGACACTATGATTCTACAACAAACTGCAGAGAACACTAGCAGTGTTCTGCTTGGAACCTAAATCTGCACCTAGCAACCAGGACAGCACATCAGTGGGATGCCAATGTGGGAGGATAGATGGGGCTTTCTAAACATTTTCACTATTAGCGCATGAAAAATGGGAAACTACAAGGCTCTTGTTGATCCAAGGAGACTGGCCACAGAGACTGTATTCCTTCTAGGCACTAACAAGCAACCCTAAAGTATGAGAGAATTAATGTCATTTCATACATGTGCAATTCAGGAATTACTAGGAACGTGGCAGTAAAGAACTTACATGCCCATATCAATAGTCAAAGTCCTCTTAATGTAAACATGTCTTTCTGAGGTTCTGCTAGACCTAATACTATTTAAAAATTCAAAGGTTCCTCACCTCAGCATCCCATCTTGTTTTGTTTTGGGTTAGATGAGGGGGATAAGCATGAGAGAGTTGAATTATTGTCATTAAGTTATCGATTTAACTTTCAAATGTAAAAACTCATAAAGGTTGAAGGTAATTTGGGGTTTAGGTTTTTTTAACTTTTATTTTAGGTTCATGGGTATATGTGCAGGTTTGTTATACAGGTAAACTGCGCATCACAGGGGTTTGGAGTACAGATAATTTCATCATCCAGGTAATAAGCATAGTACTCAATAGGTATTTTTTCTGATCTTCTTCCTCCTCCCACCCTCCACCGTCAAGTAGACCCCAGTGCATGTGGTTCACCTTCTAGTATCCATGTGTTCTTATGTTTAGCTCCCACTTATAAGTGAGAACATGTGGTATTTGGCTCTTTTCCATTTAGTTTGCTTAGGATGATGGCCTGCAGCTCCATCCATGGTGCTGCAAAGGAAATGACCTCATTCTTTTTATGACTGCATAGTATTCCATGGGGTCTATGTACCACATTTTCTTTACCCAATCTACTGTTGATGGGCATTTAGGTTGATTTCATGTATTTGCTGTTGTGAACAGTGCTGCAATGAACATACTCGTGCATATGTCTTTATGGTAGAATGATTTATATTCCTTTGGGTATATACCCGCTAATGGGATTGCTTGGTGGAAGAGTAGTTCTGTTTTAAGTTCTTGGAGGAATCATTACACCATTTTCCACAATAGCTAAGGTAATTTACATTCCCACCAGCAGTGTATAAGCATTCCCTTTTCTCCATAACCTTGATGTATCTGTTATTAATAATTTGACTTTTTGATAATAGCCATTCCACCTGGTACGAGATGGTATCTCATTGCGGTTTTGATTTGCATTTCTCTAATGATTAATGATATTGAGCATTTTTTCATATGCTTGGCCGCATGTGTACCTTCTTTTGGAAAGTGTCTGTTCATGTCTTTTGCTGACTTTTAAACGGCATTGTTTCTTTCTTATAAATTTGTTTAAGTTCTTTCTAGATGCCAGATATTAGACCTTTGTCAAATGCATTGTATGCAGATATTTTCTCTCATTTTGTAGGTTGTCTGTTTCCACTGTTGATAGTTTCTCTTACTGTGAGACGTTCTTTAGTTTAATTAGGCTTCATTTGTCAATTTTTGTTTTTGTTGCAATTGCTTTTGGCATCTTCATGATGAAATGTTTCCCAAGTCCTATGTCCAGAATGGTATTTCCTAGGTTATCTTCCAGAGTTTTTATATTAATAGTTTTCATTTTAACATTTAAGTGTTTAATCCATCTTGAGTTGATTTTTGTATGTGGTGCAAAGTTGGCATCCAGTTTCAATCTTCTGCACAGAGCTAGTCACTTATCCCAGCACCTTTTATAAAATGGGGAGTCCTTTCCCCATTGCTTGTTTTGGTCAGCTTTGTTGAAGATCATATTTTTTTGTAGGTGTGTTGCACTATTTCTGGGTTCTCTATTTATTCTATTGGTCTATATATCTGTTTTGTTTTGTTTTTTTTTTTTCCAGTACCGTGCTGTTTTGGATACTGTAGCCCTCTAGTATAAGTTGGGTAAGGTGATGCCTCTAGCTTTTTCCTTTTTTCTTAGGATTGCCTTGGCTATTAGGGCTCTTTTTCGGTTCCATACAAATTTTAAAATAGTTTTTTTCTAATGCTGTGAACAATGTCATCGGTAGTTTGATAGGAGTTGCACTGAATCTATAAATTGCTTTGGACCAGTGTGGCCATTTTAATGATACTGAATCTTAGTATCCATGAGCATGGGATGTTTTTCCATTTGTTTGTGGCACCTCTGATTTCTTTCAGCAGTTTTTTGTAATTCTCATTGTAGAGATGTTTTACGTTCTTGGTTAGCAGAATTTCTAGGTATTTTATTCTTCTTGTGGCAGTTGTGAATGGGATGGCATTCCTGATTTAGCCCTCAGATTGAATGTTGTTGATGTATGGGAATGCTAAATTTTTGTACATTGCTTTTGTATCCTGAAACTTTTCTGAAGTTGTTTATCAGATCAAGGAGCTTTTGGACCAAGACTATGGGGTTTTCTCATACGGATTCATGTCTTTTGCAACCAGGAATAGTATAACTTCCTCTCTTCTTATTTGGATGCCTTTCATTTCTTTCTCTTGCCTGATTGCTCTGGCCAGGACTTCCAGTACTATGTTGAATAGGTGTGGTGAGAGAGGGCATCCATGTCTTATGCCGGTTTTCAAGGGGAATGCTTCCAGCTTTTTCCATTCAGTATGATGTTGGCTGTGGGTTTTTTATAGATTGCTTTTATTATTTTGAAGTATATTCCTTCAATGCCTAGTTTATTGAGGGTTTTTAACATGAAGGGATGTTGAATTTTATTGAAAGCCTTCTCTGCATGTATTGAGATAATTATGTGGTTTTTGTTTTCATTTCTGTTTATGTGATGAATCACATGTATTGATTTGCATATGTTGAACCAACCTTTCCTCTCAGGGATAAAGCCTACTTGATCATGGTAGGCTTTATCCCTGGGACGCAAGGGGTCATGGTAGGCTTTTTCTCTGCGATGCAAATGCTCACACCCTAATCTGTGGAGCCTGTGATTATATGTTACTTTACATGGCAAAAGGACTTTTATAGATGTGATTAAATTCAGAATCTTGAGATGGGGATATTATCCTGGATTAGGCAGGTAGGCTAATATAATCACCTGTGTCCATATAAGAGGGAGGCTGGAGGTCAGAGAAAAGATACTCTGCTGCTGACTTTAAAGATAGAAGAATGGGCCATGAGCCAAGGAATATAGGTCACCTCTAGAAGATAGAAAACGTGAGGAAATAGCTATTTCAACAAAAAGCTAAGAAATTGGGTTTTTATATGCTGTTGGATTTGGTTTGCTAGTATTTTGTTGAGGAGAATCAAGGTAATTTGAAAGATCTTCAAATTTCAAGGATTTACACTCCTGCCAAATGACTCCCCAAACCCATAGCCAGTCACTGTTCTTCACCATTGCCCCACTCTCAAGCACAATACAAAAACTTTCCATTTCCTGAGAGGGTAAAGAAATGTGGTGTTATAACAAAATAAATATTTGCCAACAATATTACCATCTCTTGGTGTTATCTACTCCATGCATTTCTAGTGAATTGTTCATTAGGAAACCCCATTGCTTTATTCAAAGTTTTTGTCATTTGACCTAAGATAAACAAAGTTATCTGTTCCTCCCAAAGAAAAGTGTCAGATATGTCAAGTTCATCTGAGTTTGCCAACAGTAAGAAAATATTTTAAGAAGTATGGAGACATATAAAAAAGACATATAAGCCACCCAGAAGGGATCCTCTCTAGCCAAAACACTGACCATTTCAGCATCAAAATAATGATAGAATGAAATAAGAATGCATAAGACCATATTAAGATATATGGATAGACACATAGATAAATAATACCTGATACACACACGTACACACACACACACACACACACACACACACACAGGAACAAAGGAAAGCTATTCCTTCATATAGAATGCCAACTCTATTAGTTTTCCATTGTTGCTAAAACAAATTACTACAAATTTGGTGTTTAAAATAACAAAAATATCTTATATATCTGGAGAAAGAAAGACTAAATTGGATCTACAGGGCTGCACATCTTCCGCAGGCTCTAGGACAGAACATGTTTCCTCAACTACTCCAGCTTCTAGAAGCAACCTGTATTCCGTGGCTCATGGCCCATTCCTCTATCTTTAAAGTCAGCAGCAGAATATCTTCTCTCTGACTAAGAATGTGGCAGGAAAGAACTTACATGCCCTCTCTCTTATATGGATATGTGTGATTATGTCAGCCCTCCTGGCTAATACAGGATAATAATCCCAACTCAAGGTTGAGAATTTAATCACATCTATAAAAACCCTTTTGCAGGCTGAAAATTCCAAAATCCAGAATGCCTCTTCTCCTCCAAAGGATCACAACTCCTCACGAGCAAGGGAACAAAACTGGATGGGGAATGAGTTTGACGAATTGACACAAGTAGGCTTCAGAAGGTGGGTAATAACAAACTCCTCCAAGCTAAAGGAGCATGTTTTAACCCAATGCAAGGAAGCTAAGAACCTTGAAGAAAAGATAGAAGACTTCCTAACTAAATTAATCAGTTTAGAGAAGAACATAAATGACCTGATGGAGCTGAAAAACAGCACGAGAACTTTGTGAAGCATACAAAGGTATCAATAGCCGAATTGATTAAGCAGAAGAAAGGATATCAGAGATTGAAATTCAACTTAATGAAATAAAGCGTGAAGACAAAATTAGAGAAAAAAGAATGAAAATGAATGAACAAAGCCTCCAAGAAATATGGGACTATGTGAAAAGACCAAACCTACGTTTGATTGGTGTACCTGAAAGTGATGGGGAGAATGGAACCAAGCTTGAAAACACTCTTCAGGATATAATCCAGGAGAATTTCCCCAACCTAGCAAGACAGGTCAACATTCAAATTCAGGAAATGCAGAGAAAAATACTAAGATATTCCTCAAGAACAGCAACCCCAAGACACATAATCATAATATTCACCAAGGTTGAAATGAAAGAAAAAAATGTTAAGGGCAGCCAGAGAGAAAGGTCACGTTACCCACAAAGGGAAGCCCATCAGACTAACAGCAGGTCTCTCAGCAAAAACCCTACAAGCGAGGGGAGAGTGAGAACGAATATTCAAAATTCTTAAAGAAAAGAATTTTCAACCCAGAATTTCATATCCAGCCAAACTAAGCTTCATAAGTGAAGGAGAAACAAAATCCTTTACAGACAAGCAAATGCTGAGAGATTTCGTCACCACCAGTCCTGCCTTACGGGAGTTCCTGAAGGAAGTACTAAATATGGAAAAGAAAAATCAGTACCAGCCACTGCAAAAACATACCAAAGAATCAATATCATGAAAATGGCCATACTGCCCAAAGTAATTTATAGATTCAGTGCTATCCCAATCAAGCTACCACTGACTTTCTTCACAGAATTAGAAAAAAACTACTTTAAATATCACATGGAACCAAAACAGAGCCCGTATAACCAAGACAATCCTAAGCAAGAAGGAGAAAGTTGGAGGCATCATGCTACCTGACTTTAAACTATACTACAAGAATACAGTAACCAAAACAGCATGGTATGTGTACCAAAACGGATATATAGACCAATGGAACAGGACAGAGGCCTCTGAAATAATGCCACACGTCTACAACCACCTGATCTTTGACAAACCAGACAAAAACAAGCAATGGGGAAAGGATTCCTTATTTAATAAATGGTGTTAGGAAAACTGGCTAGCCATATGCAGAAAACTGAAACTGGACCCCTTCCTTACACCTTACACAAAAATTAACTCAAGACAGATGAAAGACTTAAACGTAAGACCTAAAACCATAAAAACCCTAGAAGAAAACCTAGGCAATACCATTCAGGATATAGGCATGGGCAAAGACTTCATGACTAAAACACCAAAAGCAATGGCAAGAAAAGACAAAATTGACAAATGGGATCTAATTAAACTAAAGAGCTTCTGCACAGCAAAAGAAACCTTCTGGACAAGCAGCCTACAGAATGGGAGAAAATTTTTGCAATCTATCCATCTGGCAAAGGGCTAATATCCAGAGTCTACAAAGAATTTAAACAAATTTACAAGAAAAAACAACCCCATCAAAAAGTGGGCGAAGGATATGAACAGACAGTTCTCTAAAAAAGACATTGATGCAGCCAACAAACATATGAAAAAAAGCTCATTATCTCTGGTCATTAGAGAAATGTAAATCAAAACCACAATGAGATACCATCTCACACCAGTTAGAATGGTGATCATTAAAAAGTCAGGAAACAACAGATGCTGGAGAGGATGTGGAGAAATAGGAATGCTTTTACACTGTTGGTGAGAATGTAAATTAGTTCATCCATTGTGGAAGACAGTGGGGCAATTCCTCAAGGATCTAGAACCAGCAATACCATTTGACTCAGCAATCCCATTACTAGGTATATACCCAAAGGATTATAAATCATTCTACTATAAAGACACATGCACATGTATGTTTATTGCAGCACCATTCATAATAGCAAAGACTTGGAACCAACCCAAATGCCCATCAATGATAGACTGGAATAAGAAAATGTAGCACATATACACCATGGAATACTATGCAGCCATAAAAAAGAACGAGTTTATGTCCTTTGTAGGGACATGGATGAAACTGGAAACCATCATTCTCAGCAAACTAAAACAGGAACAGAAAACCAAACACTGCATGTTCTCACTCATAAGTGGGAGTTGAACAGTGAGAACACATGGACACAGGGATGGGAACATCACACAGTAGGGTCTGTTAGAAGGTGGGAGGGCTAGGGAGAGATAGCATTAGGAGAAATACCTAATGTAGATGATGAGTTGATGGGTGCAGCAAACCAGCATGGCACATGTATGCCTATGTAACAAACCTGCACATTCCGCACATGTCTTCCAGGACTTAAAATATAAAAAATAAAATTAATTTTGCCACGTAAGGTAATATATAATAACTTATCCCAGTGATTAGGTTGTGATCATTTGAGAGAAGGAGAGGAAGTATTTAGCCTGCCACACAAATTATTAAATTTGGAAGGAATGATGGAACTTTAAGAATCATTACTTGGAAACCACTATAGTAATAATTGTTTCTGGGAAGGAATATTAAGGGATGCTTACTAATAAAACTAGTGGATGAAAGCTAGTTAAAAAACAGAATGCTACCTAATCTCAACATACTTCCCCACATGACACTTATATATTACTGAGAAAAACACTAATTTTTATAGTAAAGATGCCTGGCAGATACAACATTAACCAAGTAATCAAAGCCAATATTGCCCATAACAGAATAAAGAAATATGTACATACTGATAGGATGCACTAAGGAGAACACAATCACACTTTTGTGGTATTCCTGACAGAAGTTTACAGGGAAAAAGAAGCTGATGCTTCAGTGCAGTTAGTCATCATTCCTATCTGGGAAAAAGCTGGCTTCACTGTTAGTTCTACAGTAAAATTGCTTGCCGCATAAATTCATTTCTGCTTTGGAAATCCCAGTTCACAAACGTTGACATGAGGTTTAGGCCTGACAAGGGGAGCATCTCAGGGCTTCTACTTTGCCTTCAGTGTTGTTGACATAGGAACAGGTCGTCAGAGCTAAAAATGTATTGTCCTTACCCTGATTTTTTCATATACAAGTTGCCAGAGCTTATGCAAGCACCTATCTCCTCCCTTCAGTTTGATAAAGTGAGAGAACTCATTCTTGTTGTTCTGCTGCATAAAGTTTGCTTGACTGGTTTGAAAAGTACAAAACAATAAAAACAATAATATCTGTGTTACACTTTGGGGGAATTATTAGTAACTGATCACTTTCAGATTACAAATTAAATAGCACAGGTTAATATGACTAGGATTCAATATTAGATATCCTATAATTATAACCTTGCCAAGACCACCTCGATCATGGAGATGCTAACCCAGCGGCACTAGAGGAATTAAAGACACACACACAGAAATATAGAGTATGGAGTGGGAAATCAGGGCACTCACAGCCTTCAGAGCTGAGAGCCCTGAACAGAGTTTGACCCACATATTGATTGACACGAAGCCAGTGATAAGCATTATTTCTATAGATTATAGATTAACTAAAAGTATTCCTTAAGGGAAACAAAGGGATGGGCCGAAACAAAGGGATGGGCTCTGTCTAGTTATCTGCAGCAGAAACATGTCCTTAAGGCACAGATCACTCATGCTATTGTTTGTGATTTAGGAATGCCTTTAAGCGGTTTTCTGCCCTGGGTGGGCCAGGTGTTCCTTGCCCTCATTCTGGTAAACCCACAACCTTCAGCATGGGCATCATGGCCATC
Source organism: Homo sapiens (assembly GCF_000001405.40). Lineage (NCBI taxonomy): Eukaryota > Metazoa > Chordata > Mammalia > Primates > Hominidae > Homo > Homo sapiens. Next base: position 452,732 of record NT_167248.2, on the reverse strand, counting down.
ACAAACATGTCACAGGGCTGCAGAGATTTTGTTTATGGCCAGTTTTGGGGCCAGTTTATGGCCAGATTTGGGGGCCTGTTCCCAACATAACCTCCCAAAAGAAAACAAAAAGTCTACACATATAAAAGAAAATGTATATATTTTGTAAGAGAAGAAGGAGAAAAGAGCCCAGAAAATTAAAAAGCCAAAAAAAATTTAAAGAGTGAGAAGTGATATCAATAAAACGGCAAAATAGGACTTTCCAGTGCCAGTTGGCCCCCTAGGTCAGACTCTGTAGTCCCAAGATCCATGCCAGTACCCAAGGGCCTAGCCTCCAGACCAGCACATATAAGCTGGGCCCCATAAACCCAGGCTCCAGACAAGCCCCTAAGGCAGCAAGTTCCACTCTAGAACCAGGCCAGTTCCAGGCTTCAGGTTGATCCCCACCACTCTAGGTTCCACTGGACCTAAAGTTCAGGCCCACACCAGTAGCTATCACCTCATACCTCACACCAGTTAGATCTATTATGAAAAACACAAAGGACAACAGGTGGTGGGAAGAATATGGAGAAAAGAGAATTCTTATACATTGTTACATTGTTTTTTGAAATGTAAATTAGGACAGCCATGAGGGAAAACACTATGAAGTTTCCTAAATAAATTTAAAATAGGGCCAGGCGCAGTGGCTTATGCCTGTAATTCCAACACTTTGGGAGGCCGAGGTCGGCAGATCACCTGAGGTCAGGAGTTTGAGACCAGCCTGGCCAACATGGTGAAATCCCATCTCTACCAGAAACAAGCAATGGGGAAAGGATTCTCTGTTTAACAAATGGTGGTGGGAAAACTGGCTAGCCATATGCAGAAAACTGATACTGGACCCCTTCCTTATACCTTAGGCAAAAATTAACTCAAGATAGCTTAAAGACTTAAATGTAGAACCCAAAACCATATAAACCCTAGAAAAGAACCTAGGCAATACCATTCAGGATATAGGCATGGGCAAAGACTTCATGACTAAAACACCAAAAGCAACGGCAACAAAAGACAAAATTGACAAATGGGATCTAATTAAACTGAAGAGCTGCTGCACAGCAAAAGAAACTACCATCAGAGTGAACAGGCAACCTACAGAATGGGACAAAATTTTTGCAATCTATGCATCTGACAAAAGTCTAATATCCAGAATATATGAGGAACTTAAACAAATTTATGAAAATAAAACAAACAACCCCATCAAAAAGTGAGCAAAGGATATAAATAGAAACTTCTCAAAAGAAGGCATTTATGGAGCCAACAAACACATGAAAAATAGCTCGTCATCACTGGTCATTCGAGAAATGCAAATCAAAACCACGAGATACCATCTCACACTAGTTAGAATGGCAATTATTAAAATGTCAGGAGACAACAGATGCTGGCGAGTCTGTGGAGAAATAGGAATGCTTTTACACTGTTGGTGGGAGAGTAAATTAGTTCATCCATTGTGGAAGACAGTGTGGCGATTCCTCAAGGATCTAGAACCAGCAATACCATTTGACCCAGCAATCCCATGAGTGCGTATATATCCAAAGGATTATAAATCATTCTACTATAAAGACACATGCACATGTATGTTTATTGCAGCACCATTTACAATAGGAAAGACTTGGAACCAACCCAAATGCCCATCAATAATAGACTGGATGAAGAAAATGTGGCACATATACACCATGGAATACTATGCAGCCATAAAAAAGAATGAGTTCATGTCCTTTGCAGGGACATGGATGAAGCTGGAAACCATTATTTTCAGCAAAATAACACAGGAACAGAAAACTAAACACTGCATGTTCTCACTCATAAGCGGTAGTTAAACAATGAGAACACATGGACACAGGGAGGGCAACATCACACACTGGGGCCTGTCACGGGTTCAGGGGGAAGGAGAGGGAGAGCATTAGGACAAATATCTAATGCATGTGGGGCTTAAAACCTAGATGACAGGTTGATAGGTGCAGCAAACCACTATGGCACATGTATACCTATGTAACAAATTTGCACATTCTGCACATGTATCCGAGAACTTAAAGTAAAATAAACATAAAAATAATGAAAAATAAAAGATTTCATAAGAACTTATACGAGAAACTACATCGGCCTTAGGGTAATTAAAGATTTGCTAGGACACACACACACACACACACACACACACACACACACACACACAAGAAATCCTGTCTCTACTAAAAATACAGAAATTAGCTGGGCGTGGTGGTGCTTACCTGTAGTCCCAGCTACTCTGGAGGCTGAGGCAAGACAATCGCTAGAACCCAGGAGGTGGGAGTTGCAGTAAGCCGAGATCCCACCACTGCACTCCAGCCTGGGCGACAGAGCGAGACTCTGTCTCAAAAAATTAATTAATTAATTAATTAATAATAAATAAAAATAGAACTGCCATATGATCCATCAATCACACTTCTGGGTTTATATCCAAAAGAATTAAATCACTATGTTGAAGAGCTATCTCCACTTCCATGAATATGGCAGCAAATTCATAATAGCCAAAGTATTGAATCAATCTAAGAGTCAATCAATGAATGAGTGAATTTAAAAAGTGTAGTTTATATACAATAGAATACTATTCTGCCTTAAAATAAGAAGGAAGTCCTAATATTTTCAAACACATGGCAAACCTGAGGACACTTTGCTAAGTAAAATGAGCCAGGCACAGAAAAATAAATACTGCACGATCTAATGTGTGAAATCTACATAAAATGAACTCATAGAAGCACAAAGTAGTAGAATGAGGCTTGTCAGGGGTTAGCAGTGGAGGGAGGGAAAATGGGGAGATGCTGGTCAAAGGGTACAAAGTTTCAGTTAGAAGGAATAAATTCAAGAGATCTATTCTATAGTATGGTGACTATAGTTAATAAAACTGTACTGCATACTTGAAAATTGCTAAGATAACAGATCCTAAATGTTCTCACCACAAAACAGGTAAGTATGTGAGTTAATGATTTGTTAATTAGCTTGAATAATAATTGCATAATTATACATATATCAAAACTTTATGCTGTATATCATAAATAAATACAACTTTTCACTTAATAAAGATGGAGAGGATATTTGAGTAGGTGAGAAACCAGGATGCTACAGGAAGTGTTACAAATCGTAAGATTTCCATAGTAGGAAATAGTTCAAAGAGCTAAGCTATGTTCTTTAAGTTTTAAAAAATTTGTTTTTATGTGATGTTTTACCCTAAGTGGTCTCAATTGTTTACTAAAAGTTATTTTACATACACTATTCTTGGTTCTTCATTTCTTGGGTAAGCTTAAGGACAAGGGCAAATGACTCATATTTTTCATGCCTAGTTAGAAATAAAGGAAGAGTCACAGATGCAGAAAGAAGATAAAGTCAGCAGAATCAATGCAATTGCAAGTCACACTAGAAATTGGAGGGAAGTTCCGAGATGCATTTTTATTTTTATAATTTAGGAAATAGTGTGTGAATCAATCACATCCAAATCTCACAGGCCTCAAAAGCTACAGCTGACATTCCAGTTATAGAGAAAACTCAGGCATTGCAAGTACGTTACATTATACTGAATTCTCCTTTAGTCATTTTTCCACATCATTTGACTACGACTGTCAGTTTAAATTGCTCTAGGTATAACGCAATTATTTCAGATGAAGATGGTTGACAATAATATATAGAACAAAATGATAACTTCTATAAAATATATTTATTTGAAACCATATATTGATATTCCTAATATACTTATTAACTATAAATATTCAAATTAGAACAAGCTTAAAAATAAAAATAAACTAACATTTTCCATATAACAGCTTTTATCATAAAAATTTTCCAGTATATTTAAACATAATTCTTTTATACACCCATTGACTTCAAGTCATTTTCAGAGCCTCTCTATTTGCCTCAAATGTTCTCCATAGCTCTTTAGGTAATGCAGTTGCTCCAAGCACTTACCTCACCTAAGTATACCTAGACGGTGATGACCATTTCTTTATAAGCTACATAGGTCAGCTTTACCAGCTCCTTTCACCTCCAATATCCTTCTCACTGCCTTGTAAAAAAGAGGGATCTTGGACGCCGACTTCTGCTACACTGCTTCAACATCTCTCTTGCTACAATTTATAAAACTTATTGTCTTACTATTGATATTGGATATCAAAGAATATGGACCAAAATTCCTCTCAAAATTTACATCCAACAAAAAATAAGTAGTGTTGGAGGAAAGGATTTGAAGTATTTTGCTGTGTATTCAACTAAACTAAAGATAGAAGACAAAAGTATTCTGCCTAAACAGCAAAAAATTAAAAGACATATTCTAGATATTTTAAAATTGAGAGTATCATCTTTTCATAGGAATTATAACTTCACTTTTATCAATATTTACAACAAATTTCATGCCTTATTTTTAATCAGGAAAAGTCTTTCTTGTATTCATTAGGTTTGTGCCATGGAAAAACATCACTATAGATGTTTTATCTTGATTTTACACAGCTGTTTTCTCCAAAAGTGAATGGTATTTAAGCTGAATGTGTTTTATTCCTACCTGTTACCAGGATCTCCACGACTTTGTTAGAGTACATGCTCAGCAAGTGCTAACAGAGTGAGTGAATAAAAGAATGGTTGATAAATGAACAGATGGATGAATCATTGTGAGGAAAGACTCCATTATATTGTTAATATCACACAAACACAGGCTCACTCCCACCCCCTTAGTCTCTTCACTACCCCTCTTACATCTTTGTTTCTGAGGGTGTAGATTAGAGGGTTAAGACTAGGTGTAACAACAGTATAAAAGAGAGCAATGAACTTGCCTTGATCTTGAGAATTCCCTGATGGTGGCTGGAGATACATGCACATGGCCGGAATGAAAAAGAGAGATACAACCATATGATGAGCTCCACATGTTCCAAATACTTTCTGAAGCCCAGTGGTTGACTGCATCCTCAGTACAGCCTGGGCAATAGCACCATAGGAAGTGAAAATGAGGGTGAGAAGTAGCAGAACAAAAATGGAGCTTGTGATCATGAGGGTCAGTTTATTTTCACGGGTATTGACAAATGATAATCATAAAAGTGCCGGAACTTCACAGAAAAAGTGATCTATTTGGCGGTGTCCACACAGAGGTACCCAGAAGGTGAAGGAGGAATGAAGTGCTGGGTTTGTAAAACCACTTACCCAAGAAGCCACAGCCAACAAGTGGCAGAAACGAGAGTGCATGAGGACAGTGTAATGCAAAGGTCTACACACAGCTGCATAACGGTCATAGGACATCACCACCAGTAGGACACACTCTGTGGTTCCCAGTGTGAGAAAAAAGTAAAGTTGAACCATGCAACCAGCATAAGAAATGGTCTTTTCCACACCCCAGAGACTGACCAGCAACTGAGGGATAGAGCTGGTGGTGTAGCAGAGATCCAGAAATGAGAGATTTGAAAGGAAGAAATACAAGGGAGTATGGAGATGGGAGTCCAGGTACGTCAGGATGATGATGAACAGGTTTCCTATCAGTGTCATCAAGCAGAAGATCAAAATAACCACAAAGAGAACTACTTCCAGATAAGGCCAATTAGAAAATCCAACTAAAATAAAGTACCCCTCAGAGCTAGCATTGACTTTTCCATCATCATTCATTTCCTATTACCTGAGAGAAAAAAAAAATCAGGTAAACTCAAAAAGCAGTAAACAAATGCTCCAAAAAACATCAGGATACGTAAAAAAAATAAAATCCAGTTTGAAGGGCTTGCCATCATTTAATTGTAGGACAATTTAACCATTAGTAGTAATGAACTTAACAAAAGAAGAATTATAAAGCTCGTACTGATATAAAAAGTAAGAGTAAATAAATGAATGGTGAAGAAAAAGCCATTCCTAACAGTAGATCCCTAATTAATAAACATAGAAGGGATGATGGTGTTAAGAAAAACATAAATGATTGCAAAACTAGTGGATAAAAATTTGATGGGGAACAGGACATGTACATAGTCTAAAATATCTCCTCACAACTTTCTTGTTAATTTCAAACTGAAAAACAGTGAAGTTTACAGTAGAAAAACCTGGCAGACACCAACATAACCAAGTGATTTTATTGATCTTAAGATCACCTGTATTTGTACAAACCAACATCATGAGACTGCTGAGATGCTGCTCTGAACAGGGCATGATGTCACCTCAGTGATATTTATGTTAAAAATACACAGACTAATTCTAATAATGAAGACACATGAGAAAAACTCTAATTGAGAGAAATAGTTTGCCTGTACAATTCAAAAGTATCAAGTTTAAGTAGACAAACAAAGGCGGTGGCACTGGTCCAGATGGAAGGAGACTAGTGAGATGTGATTTCTCAGTGTATCATCTGGGATTTTTTTAAAAAGTGGCTATTAACAAAATTATTGGGACTATTTAAGAAATCTCACTGTGGACTATGGATTAGATAATAATATTGTGCCCATATTAAATTTGCTGATTTGGGTACTGTGCAGGACTTATGTAAAATAACATCCTTCTTCTTAGACAAGAAACATTGAATAAAATATTTGGTGTAAATGTCTTGAATGGGCTAAATGCTCCAATTAAAAGACACAGACTGGCAAATTGGATAAAGGGTCAAGACCCATCAGTGTGCTGTATTCAGGAAACCCATCTCACATGCAGAGACACACATAGGTTCAAGATAAAGGGATGGAGGAAGATCTACCAAGCAAATGGAAAACAAAAAAAGGGAGGGGTTGCAATCCTAGTCTCTGATAAAATAGACTTTAAACCAACAAAGATCAAAAGAGACAAAGAAGGCCATTACATAATGGTAAAGGGATCAATTCAACAAGAAGAGCTAACTATCCTAAATATACATGCACCCAATACAAGAGCACCCAGATTCATACAACAAGTCCTTAGAGACCTACAAAGAGACTTAGACTCCCACACAATAATAATGGGAGACTTTAACACCCCACTGTCAACAATAGACAGATCAACAAGACAGAAAGTTAACAAGGATATCCAGGAATTGAACTCAGCTCTGCACCAAGCGGTCCTAATAGACATCTACAGAACTCTCCACCCCAAATCAACAGAATATACATTCTTCTCAGTACCACATCACACTTATTCCAAAATTGACCACATAGCTGGAAGAAAAGCACTCCTCAGCAAATGTAAAAGAACAGAAATTATAACAAACTGTCTCTCAGACCACAGTGCCATCAAACTACAACTCAGGATTAAGAAACTCACTCAAAACCACTCAACTACATGGAAACTGAACAACCTGCTCCTGAATGACTACTGGTACATAACGAAATGAAGGCAGAAATAAAGATGTTCTTTGAAACCAGCGAGAACAAAGATACAACATACCAGAATCTCTGGGACACATTTAAAGCAGTGTGTAGAGGGAAATTTATAACACTGAATGTCCACAAGAGAAAGCAGGAAAGATCTAAAACTGACACCCTAACATCATAATTAAAAGAACTAGAGAAGTAAGAGCAAACACATTCAAAAGCTAGCAGAAGGCAAGAAATAACTAAGATCAGAGCAGAACTGAAGGAGATAGACACACAAAAAACCATTCAAAAAATCAATGAATCCAGGAGCTGGTTTTTTGAAAGATCAACAAAATTGATAGACTGCTAGCAAGACTAATAAAGAAGAAAAGAGAGAAGAATCAAATAGACACAACAAAAAATGATAAAGGGGATATCACCACCGATCCCACAGAAACACAAACTACCATCAGAGAATACTATAAACACCTCTATGCAAATAAACTAGAAAATCTAGAAGAAATGGATAAATTCCTCGACACATACACCCTCCCAAGACTAAACCAGGAAGAAGTTGAATCTCTGAATAGACCAAATAACAGGCTCTGAAATTGAGGCAATAATTAGTAGCTTACCAACCAAAAAAAAGTCCAGGACCAGACGGATTCACAGCCGAATTCTACCAGAGGTACAAGGAGGAGCTGGTACCATTCCTTCTGAAACTACTCCAATCAATAGAAAAAGAGGGAATCCTCCCTAACTCATTTTATGAGGTCAGCATCATCCTGATACCAAAGCCTGGCAGAGACACAACAAAAAAAGAATTTTAGACCAACATCCCTGATGAACCTCGATGCAAAAATCCTCAATAAAATACTGGCAAACCGAATCCAGCAGCACATCAAAAAGCTTATTCACCATGATCAAGTGGGCTTCATCCCTGGGATGCAAGCCTGGTTCAACGTACGCAAATCAATAAACATAATCCAGCAGAACAAAAGACAAAAACCACATGATTATCTCAATAGATGCAGAAAAGGGCTTTGACAAAATTCAACAGCCCTTCATGCTAAAAACTCTCAATAAACTAGGTATTGATGGAACGTATCTCAAAATAATAAGAGCTATTTATGACAAAACCACAGCCAATATCATACTGAATGGGCAAAAACTGGAAGCATTCCCTTTGATAACTGGCACAAGACAGGGATGCCCTCTCTCACCACTCCTATTCAACATAGTGTTGGAAGTTCTGGCCAGGGCAATCAGGCAGGAGAAAGAAATAAAGGGTATTCAATTAGGAAAAGAGGAAGTCAAATTGTCCCTGTTTGCAGATGACATGATTGTATATCTAGAAAACCCCATCATCTCAGCCCAAAATCTCCTTAAGTTGATAAGCAACTTCAGCAAAGGCTCAGGATACAAAATCAATGTGCGAAAATCACAAACATTCTTATACACCAATAACAGGCAAACAGAGAGCCAAATCATGAGTGAACTCCCATTCACAATTGCTTCAAAGAGAATCAAATACCTAGGAATCCAACTTACAAGGGATGTGAAGGACCTCTTCAAGGAGAACTACAAACCACTGCTCAATGAAATAAAAGAGGATACAAACAAATGGAAGAACATTCCATGCTCATGGATAGGAAGAATCAATATCGCGAAAATGGCCATACTGCCCAAGGTAATTTATAGATTCGGTGCGATCCCCATCAAGCTACCAATGACTTTCTTCACAGAATTGGAAAAAACTGCTTTAAAGTTCATATGGAACCAAAAAAGAGCCCGCATTGCCAAGCCAATCCTAACCCAAAAGAACAAAGCTGGAGGCATCACGCTACCTGACTTCAAACTATACTACAAGGCTACAGTAACCAAAACAGCATGGTACTGGTACCAAAACAGAGATATAGACCAATGGAACAGAATACAGCCCTCAGAAATAATACCACACATCTACAAGTATCTGATCTTTGACAAACCTGAAAAAAACAAGAAATGGGGAAAGGATTCCCTATTTAACAAATGCTGCTGGGAAAACTGGCTAGCTATATGTAGAAAGCCGAAACTGGATCCCTTCCTTACACCTTATACAAAAATTAATTCAAGATGGATTAAAGACTTCAATGTTAGACCTAAAACCATAAAAACCCTAGAACAAAACCTAGTCAATACCATTCAGGACATAGGCATGGGCAAGGACTTCATGTCTAAAACACCAAAAGCAATGGCAACAAAAGCCAAAATTGACAAATGGGATCTAATTAAACTAAAGAGTTTCTGCACAGCAAAAGAAACTACCATCAGAGTGAATAGGCAACCTACAGAATGGGAGAAAATTTTTGCAAGCTACTCATCTGACAAAGGGCTAATATCCAGAATCTACAATGAACTCAAACAAATTTACAAGAAAAGAACAAACAGCCCCATCAAAAAGTGGACGAAGGACATGAACAGACACTTCTCAAAAGAAGACATTTATGCAGCCAAAAAACACATGAAAAGATGCTCACCATCACTGGCCATCAGAGAAATGCAAATCAAAACCACAATGAGATACCACCTCACACCAGTTAGAATGGCAATCATTAAAAAGTCAGGAAACAACAGGTGCTGGACAGGATGTGGAGAAATAGGAACACTTTTACACTGTTGGTGGGACTGTAAACTAGTTCAACCATTGTGGAAGTCAGTGTGGTGATTCCTCAGGGATCTAGAACTAGAAATACCATTTGACCCAGCCATCCCATTACTGGGTATATACCCAAAGGATTATAAATCATGCTGCTAGAAAGACACATGCACACGTATGTTTATTACGGCACTATTCACAACAGCAAAGACTTGGAACCAACCCAAATGTCCAACAATGATAGAGTGGATTAAGAAAATGTGGCACATATACACCATGGAATACTATGCAGCCATAAAAAATGATGAGTTCATGTCCATGTAGGGACATGGATGAAGCTGGAAACCATCATTCTCAGCAAACTATCCCAAGGACAAAAAACCAAACACCGCATGTTCTCACTCATGAGTGGGAATTGAGCAATGAGAACATTTGGACACAGGAAGGGGAACATCACACACCGGGGCCTGTTGTGTGGTGGGGGGAGGGATAGCATGAGGAGATATACCTAATGTAAATGACGAGTTAATGGGTGCAGCACAGCAACATGGCACATGTATACATATGTAATAAACCTGCAGGTTGTGCACAAGTACCGTAGAACTTAAAGTATAATAATAATAATTATAATAAAAGAACATTATAGCATTAAGAAAAGGAAGAAACCACAATGTTAATGAACAATAGATAGTATTAACCACGCACACATTTTTAGACTTTTAACATCACAAATTGTAACAAACCAAAATAAGAGGCAATGAACTAAGAAAATACATATGAATTTGTATAACCTTGGAACACAAAAGTTTATACAACTTAATATGAAACTGAAACTCCAATACAGTTATGTACATAGAATGCAGACAAATAATTAACACAAAATAGAAAATTTAAAAGGAATAAAAATGACCTAATAATTAAAAAAAAAAGTACTTGGTGTAAAGGTACGTGGCATCTCCAACTTACTCTCAGCTAGTGCAGAAAAAGAGATAGATGATAGATAGATAGATAGATAGATAGATAGATAGATAGATAGATATAATAGATGATAGAGATATAGATAGATAGATAGATAGATAGATAGATAGATAGATGATATAACAAAGCTTTGGGGGAAAATGTAAACTAATGCTTAATCTGGTTATAGGGTAAATGTCAGTCTTTGTACTACTTTTTTGCAATTCTTCTCTAAGTTTGAAATTTTACCATAATAAAAAGTCACAAAAAATAGAAAACAATTTTTTAATTTTATATTTTATTCATATATTTGCCTTATAGAAGAATAACTATCGAGTTCTTCCCATTCATTTTATGGTGACTTCTAGGTAAATGGTAATTGAAAGAAATTTCTAACCTAGCTAAGGAAGATAATTTCCATAAAACACAAAATTTTTCTTTGTTAATGAATAAGGAACTTTTCTTTTCAGCATTTTCAGGTTATTTTCAAAAATGTGATTATAGAAAACATAACAATTGCAATCCCAATAATTTTACATACGGATGAAATAATATGTTGAAAATATTGAATTTAGTAGTGATTTCAAAATGTTCATGTAAAGTGAAAAAAAAGTTTAGCTTCAATGGGACTACAGGCATGTGCCACCATGCCTAGCTAATTGTTTTGTATTTTTAGTAGAGATGGGGTTTCACCTTGTTAGCCAGGATGGTCTTGGTCTCCTGACCTCATGATCCACCTGACTCGGCCTTCCAAAGTGCTGGGATTACAGGTGTGAGCCACCGTGCTCGGCCTTGTTTTTGATTTTTAAAAAGTGAAAGATTTATACAATCTGAAGAGTAATCAGAGTTTATTGTTTCTGACTTTTAAAAGCTGTCTTAATGTATTAGCATTACCCCCAGTGACAAATTAAGCCATGCACAGATACTTCATCTTTTATGTTGCCATTTTTCCTGACAGAGAGTGTGTTCTGTTCAGACAGAGTATGTTATATTTATACACGTTACCAAGAATTTCACAAACTGGAAGAGAGTACACATTCAATAAGATTTAGCTAATAAAGAATAAGTTAATGAATAAATGGACAGATGAACGAAAGAGCCATTTTAAAGAGATATTAGTTTACTGTTCAATGTGACAAGTATGTAGACCTACAGGATAAATTAGATAATTTAGTGTCTTTAAAAAGTGTCTTTCAACCAAATACTTATGATATATCCTTTACCATATCTTAAACAATGTTATTCATTATGTTTACCATTTTTCTTTGCTGTGACTATTTTTAGCTTCATTTAAGGTTTATTCAATAACCAAAAACCTTTTTAGCCTAAGTCTTTGCAATATTGCCCTTCTCTTTCTGTATATATCATCAGTTCATAATTTAGCACATTGTTAGAAATATTCCCAACATTTTTGAAATAATCTCCTCATAACTATTCGCATGCACATTTATTTACGTTGAAACCACAGTCCACAATTTTCACAGAAATAAAATATACAATTGTAAAAGAACAAAGTGGCACTAATCAGAAACTTTATCTCAACATAATATTTCAGAACTAAATAATAAAAAGAGCAACAAATGTGATACTGAACTATTCTGTTTTGTGAGCTGTTAGAACAAAAATAAATCACAAAGAAGCAGGGAAACCACCTTTCAAGATGGCTAAGACCCTAGGAAAAACAATGACAACAGACAACATGATTTCCCTGTCACTTCCCCCACTCCCACCCCAATAGTCTCTTCGCTGCCCCTTTTACATGCTTGTTTCTGAGAGTGTAGATTAGAGGATTAAGACTCGGTGTGACAACAGTATAAAAGAGGGCAATGAACTTGCCCTGATCAGGAGAATTTTCTGATGGTGGCTGGAGATACATGCACATGACTGGAATGAAAAAGAGAGATACAACCATAAGATGGGCTCCACATGTCCTAAACACTTTCTGAAGCCCAGTGGTTGATTGCATGCTCAGTACAGCCCGGGCAATGGCACCATAGGCAGTGAGAATCAGAATGAGAGGTATGAGAACAAAAATGGAGCTCATGACCATGAGGGTCAGCTCATTTGCATGGGTGTCAACACATGATAAACGCAGAAGTGCTGGAACTTCACAGAAGAAGTGATCCACTAGGCGATGTCCACAAAGGGGTACCCAGAAAGTAAAGGAGGAATGAAGTGCTGAGATAGTAAAACCAATTACCCAAGAAGCCGCAGCCAACAAGTGGCAGAAACGAGGGTGCATGAGGACAGTGTAATGCAAAGGTCTACACACAGCTACATAACGATCATACGACATCACCACCAGTAGGACACACTCTGCGATTCCCAGTGCAAGAACAAAGTAAAGTTGAACCATGCAACCAGCATACGAGATGGTCTTTTCCGGGCCCCGGAGATTCACCAGCAACTGAGGGATAGAGCTGGTGGTGTGGCAGAGATCCAGAAATGAGAGGTTTGAAAGGAAGAAGTACATTGGTGTGTGGAGATGGGAGTCCACGTATGACAGGATGATGATGAACAGGTTTCCTGTCAGTGTCATCAGGTAGAAGATCAAGATAACCACAAAGAGAACTACTTCCAGCTGAGGCCAATTAGAAAATCCAAGTAGAATAAAGAAGTCTTCCGAACTTGCATTTTTTTTAATCATCATTCATCTTTTTCTTATACCTAAAAAAAGAACCACATAAACTCAAAGTCTGTCCATGCATTGTCAACCGCTCACTTGCAAACAGATTGAAGACAAAAGTATCCCACTTCCAGAGAGTGTGCACCATAATGGTAGTAGAATTTTTATACAGTTCCCTTTATATGCTTCATTGAGATATTTATCCAGCTACAGATACAAGCAATAGCTTCTCAAGTTACTGAGTTCTTTATATACATCCCTGAATTAACATTTGGATTAATGAAGACTAAGATAGTCCATAATCAGGAACACAATATTTATGAAAAATGATTTTTTACTTTAAAAAGTCAAATTATTTTTATATTTTCAGGCTATTTCCAATTTTGCAATTACAGAGAAAGGAATAACAGCAGTCTTACTGATCTTACTTATAGATAGGAATTTCCCATATTAAAAAGCAATTAGATAGTCACTTTAAAATATTAACTGAAAAGAAATAATTGAATATGATTATAGAAAGAATCAAATGCTATTTATGCTAGCAGTTTATTTCTAGACAAATAAAATAATGCACAAATCAAAGTTTAAAGAGAATATGCACGCACACACCAACTTATAAAAATTCACAATATACACAAAGCTGATTAATACAGCAAAATAGAGTGATCGGTGATAGAATGCTTCCAAAGGTAAATGAGACTATATTACTGGAAGACATAAAGATTACAGAGTCTAACAAAAACATAGGTTGGTAAGAGAGAAATGGAGAGTGTTTGGATGCACAACAGTGAAGAGAGGTCTGAATGTGGTATGCGAAGTTGAAAGAATGTATAACAAGTTTGTTAGACAAGGACAAGAAGACTTAAACATGGTTTCTACAAAACTGTATATGCTTTAGGCCAATAACTGAACTATACTTTAAATTCTGAGTCACAATTTATAATTTGTATTTTCTGGGTTTTCCACAATTTTTAATGGAGCTTCTGAACAGACATTAACTAATATTAGTAGAAAGATACGTGAACATTGTATAAAATCCAGAAAATTCACCTTGTAGTTATTTTTTTAAAATGAAGAAATTCAAATATGCTTTGATAGCTTGATTTTCAGTTGCTTATTTTCTCTTGCACATTACCAATCTTGCATGAGAAAGATAAACACTCTTTTATGATATAGTTTTTGCAATAAAATACAGGAACCCAGCATTTCAATATTCCTAAATAGTTTTGCCATCCCCCTTCTGCTCCCCTCCTGCCACAGCCAACTCTTCCTCTTATACTCTCTGATAAATTTGGCAAAAGAGGCCAGGCGTGGTGGCTCATGCCTGTAATCTCAGCATTTTGGGAGGCCGAGGCAGGTGGAACACCTGAGGTCAGGAGTTCGAGACCAGCCTGACCAACGTGGTGAAACACCATCTCTACTAAAAAATACAAAAATTAGCCAGGCAGGCATGGTAGTGGGCACCTGTAATACCAGCTACTCTGGAGGCTGAGGCAGGAGAATCGCTTGAACCCAGGAGGCGGAGGTTGCAGTGAGCTGAGATCATGCCATTGCCCTCCAGCCTGGGTGACAGAGCAAGACTCTGTCTCAAAAAACTAATATCTACACCCGACTCACCTTCAGTGTTTTGAAAAACTTTTAATAACTCAAATATTGTAATCTTGACTCTTGAAAAAGATGTAAGGAGTTGCCTAACTGGTTGAGTTACAGCTGGAGAGCTAGGAACATTGAACTTGGGCCAAATCTGTGCAAATGCTCCAGACTGGTACAAAGATACTGTACATTTTTCCATATTGTTGGTAATGGAATGAGCATTAACCTTTTGAGAAATCATGGGAAAATTCCAAGGATTTTTTTAAATCTCCCTAAGATGAAAGGTAATATGCCATAAGATACTTGAACTCAAATGCTGTGGATACTTTTGCTGATGCCGACCTAATTTTCTTTCCTAATGCAGCTGCCTGAGTTCCTTATTACAGTAATTAAAAGGTGGAATCTGATAACTATCTGTTATATGACCCATCTTTCAGCATTCCTCCGGAGTTGATAAAAGGGATAGGAAATAAGGGACAAAAAAACCCCCAGAACTCATGTAGAGAAAAGTCTCAGCTTCAATTTTCTTCTTGGTGGAAAAGAGGGAAATGAAGACCCTATCAAATGTAGCTTTTATGAGTTGTAGAATAAAATATCTTCTCTCTTTTTTTAAATCAAATACTATAGGGAAAATGGATGGCTGAGTGTCTCTTCCTTCCCCAATTATTATTAAGAGACATTATGCCAATTTGTGTCACATCCATTCCTTTATACTATATCTGGTTTGTTTTCTTAATTTTTCATTGACTAGTAATAATTGTATATATTTATGGAGTACACTGTAATGTTTTGATGTATATATACATTATAGAATGATTATATTAAGCTAGTTAACATATCCATCACCCCACAACCATCATATTTTTGTAGTAAGAACATTTAAAATCTACACTTTCTGCAATTTTGAAATATGGAAGCTGTCTACCCCTTAAGAAGTGCACCAACTTCTTTCAGTACTGACCTTCCTGTGTTTGTCCCTGTTCCCTGTCACTCTCTACCTGGCCTACAACCTCATCAGGTATAAACTGATGAAGGGGCTCTCTGGTTGCCATACAACCTAAAAACATCAACCTAATTGCCTTCTTATAACATTTTTGCCAATGTTTTAAATCTAACTATGAAGAACAGAGTCTGGAAATAACTGTGATTGTCATTGCTACAGAAAAGAGAGCCTGAGTTTGTCCAAAAGATCTGCTTTTTAGCAGAATGTGGGAATACTTTAGGGCATTCAAGGTATCACGGGATGGACCCTTTATCCCAGAGCAAATGTAATCTTTATGGAAACAAAAAGAATAACGGGATACTCTTTCATTGACTGCAGCCTTTGGGAGTATAAATCCCAAAGCTGCAATTAATGCCCTTCAAGGAGTTGTCCTGGTATGATGTTCTCAGTACAAAACTCTTCACAGAAATATCTTCAGCATGATGTTATACTCTTACTGAGATGACAGTGAATTTGTCACCAACAAACATGGGAAAAGATGCTGTGAGTAACATTTACAATGAAAGGAAGAGGTTTTACTGAGCCGTCCGATTTTTTTTTTCAGTTTCCCGTGGGGCTAAGGCTCAAATGTACAAGACAACTGGAAAAAAAGGAGAGATTTGAGAGTCATTCAACAGAAAAACTAGAATACATAAAGACTAAACTGCATATCTGTTCCTTATTAATGAGGGGCTCTTTGAGACTGACCTATATTATTTATGCCTTCCCAGTTGTCTTTTAAATTCAATTCCAAGATTTTTCCTGCAAAATGTTAAAAAAATCTTAAATATTACTCCAATCTTTTATTATTTTAATTGACAAATAATTTTATATATTGATTAGATACAATGTGATCTTTTGATATATGTATATGTGCAATATGGAATGATTAAGTCCAGCTAACACAGTCATCACCTCACATACTTATTTTTCTTATAGTGAGAACATTTAAATCTACTTGTTTAAAATCCCCCCTTTCTCCATCCCCTGCCCCCCAGGTAGCTATCATTCTACTCTCCACTTGTATGAGTTTATCTTTTTTAGATTCCACATAAGAGTGAGATCATGTGGTATTTGTCCTTCTGTGTCTGGCTTCTTTCACTTCGCATAATGTCCTGCAGGTTCATGAATGTTGTTGTAAAGACAGAATTTCCCTTTTTTCTTTAAGGCTGAATAGTATTCCATTTTATATAGATAATGTGGTTCATATATATCACATTATATCCCTTTTATATATTTATCTGTTTATCCGTTGATGGACATTTAGGTTCCTTTCATACCTCAGCTATTGTGAAAAATGCTACAATGAACATGGTAGTGCAGATATCTGTAGTGAATTCTTATGAGTTTATGTTACCTCAGCGTTCATTTTCAATATATAATTGAACTTCCTCATGCCAGAAGCAGGACTTAGTCACCCTTATCACAATTTTGAGTTCTCCTCTCCCAGTTTCTTCAGGTGGTCAATCCAGATATTTGGCCTCTTGGTTACCACCTCCGTGTGGGACACCTAGATACAACCTACTTGACTTATCCCACTGATCCCCACACCCCACATGGACTGCAGATTTGCAGCAGTGAACACCTCTCAATACAACTTAACTCCCAAGAAATCATGCCTGCTTGCTCTAAACCCAGCAATCAGTTACTCCCTGCTTGGATAATGCTGTGTACTCCAATAAGGGCTTTGGCTTTCTGGTCTGTCACTCACTCTCTCTCGCTACCCACCCACTGGTTGCACATGCATGTCTCTAAGGGATGCCCTTTCTCCCATTAGGCCTGTGAGGCAAGTTGCCCTCTTCTCTCTGGAATCTTTAAGTAATAAAACTACTTATACTATTTTTTTTTATGTGTCTTCTTGGCGTCTCACCTGACACACCTAAAATTAATTTTTTTTTCTGGACAAGGCTCCCTTAGAGAGTGGCAATCTTGGTAGGAATGAACTGGACACACTAGTCAGACAAAAGCCACAATGGTGTCTGCCAGTGAAAACAAGTTTCCAGTGAGAGGGACACCTGGTCATAAATAGGACAATTAGGCATTAGCTCTCCATCAGGATAAGGAAGTATTCCATGAAAAGAACACCGAAAACATCCACAACCACAACCACCTCCACTGGAGCCCATCAGAGCCAGGCTAGAGTTTCTAGCCACTCTTCAAAGAGAGACGTTAAAACCAAATTAGAGGAAAATCTACCCATTTTTTTTTTTTTTGAGATGGAGTCTTGCTCTGTAGCCCAGGCTGGAGTGCAGTGGCATAATCTCAGCTCACTGCAAACTTGGCCTCCCAGGTTCAAGCAATTCTCCTGTCTCAGCCACCTGAATAGCTGGGACTACAGGTGCAAACCACACCCGGCTAATTTTTTTTGTATTTTTAGTAGAGATGGGGTTTCACCATATTGGTCAGGCTGGTCTCTAACATATTTTTAAAATACAAATTTCAATCTCTTTGGCTATGTATCCAGAAATATAATTGCTAGATCCTATGGTAATTCTATCTTTAGTTTTTTGAGGAATCTCCATGCTGATTTCAATAATGCCTGTATTAATTTACATTCCTGCCATTAGTATATAAGGATTCCCCACATCCTTGTCAGTACTTATTACCTTTTAGTTTATTGATAATAGTCATTCTAACAGGTATGAGGTGATATCTCTTTGTTTTGTTTTAATTTGCATTTCCCTGATGATTAGTGATGTAGACACTTTTTTATATATCTATTGGTCTTTTGAAAGATGTCCATTCAAGTCCGTTGCTCAGTTTTAAATGGCGTTATTTGTTTTCTTGCTAACAAATTTAAGTTGTTTGCATTTCTTACATATTTTGGATATTAGCCATGTATGGTTTGTAAATATTTTCTCCCAGTCCATGGGTTGTCTCTTCAATCTGTTATTTACTTTGTTGTAGAGAAGCTTTTGGTTTCAGGTAATCCCATTTGTCTACTTCTGCTTTGGTTTCCTGAGCTTTTGAGATCATCACCAAGAAAGTATTGCCAAGATTAATTTCAGGGACATTTTTCCCTATGCTTTCTTCTAGTAGTTTTACATTTTCAGGTCTCGCATTTAAATCTTTAAACCATTTTTAGTGGGCTTTTTACACATGGTGTGAGATAAGGGTTCAATTTCATTCTTCTGTATGTGGGTATTTGATTTCCCCTGCATCATTTATTAAAGAAACTGTCCTTTCCCCATAGTGTGTTTATTCTTGGCATCTTCGGCAAAAATCAATTAATCACAAATGCATGAGTTTATGTCTGGGCTCTCTATCACATTACATTGGTCCATGTGTCTGTTGTTATGCCAGTACCTTTCTGTTTTGAATACTATAACTTTGTAATATATCTTTAATCAGGTAGTGTGATGCCTCCAGCTCTGGTCTTTTTGCTCAAAAGTGCTTTAGCTACTTAAGATTTTTGTCATTCCATATGAATTTTTGAATTGCTTTTTCTATTTCTGTGAAACAAAAAGGTCATTAGAACTTTTATAGGAATTGCATTGAATCTGTATACCACTTTCAGCAGCACAGACATTTTAATAATATTAATTCCTCCAATCCATGAACCATCAGGTTCTGGGCTTTTCTTTGCTAGGACACTTTTATCACTGATTCAACCCCCTTACTCATTAGTCTGTTCAGATTTTCTATTTTTTCATGATTCATTGTTGTTATGTTTCTGGAAATCTAACCATTTCTTCTAGGTCATCCTATTTGTTGGTGTAAAATTGTTCGTAGTATTCTTTTATGATCTTTTGTACTTGCGTAGTTTCAATTTTAATGTCTCCTCTTTCATTTCTTATTTTATTAGAGTCTTCTTTTTTTTCTTAGTTGGTCTGCTAAAGTTTTGTCAATTGTTTTTATCTTTTCAAAAACTGAACTGTTAGTTTTGCAAATGTGTTCTTTTGTTTTCTAATCTCTTACTTATTTCTGCTCTGATCTTTGTTATTTCCTTCCTTCTGCTAACTTTGGGATTAGTTTGCTCTTCTCTTTTTCTAGTTTCTTGAAATGTAACATTAGGTTGTTTGAGATCTTTCTTCTTTTTCAATATCGGCATTTATTACTATAAACTTTCCTCCTGCTAAGAACTTCTTTTGTTACATCCCATAAGTTGTGGTACGTTGCATTTTCATTTTCATCTGTCTTAAGATATTTTTTAACTTCCCTTTGATTTCTTCATTAACCCATTGTTTATTCAAGAGCATGTTGGTTAATTTCCACATTTGTAATATTTTCAAATTTTCCCCTATTATTTATTTCTATTCATTTCTACTTTCATAATTTTGTGGTCAGAAAAGATACTTGATATGATTTCAATCTTCTTAAAATTGTTGAGTCTTATTTTGTTACCTAATATTTGATCCTGGATAATGTCTCATTTGCACTTGAGAAGAATGAATATTCTGTTGCTGTTGGATGAAATGTTCTATAACGTCTTTAGGTCCATTTGGTCCAAAGTGTATGTCAAGTCTAGTGTTTCCCTATTGATTTCTGTCTAGATGAAAAAATTGTTCATCATTACTAATCATCAGAGAAATGCAAATCAAAACCACAATGAGATATCATCTAACACCAGTCAGAATGGCTGCTATTTAAAAGTCAAAAAACAACAGATATTGCGGAGGCTGCAGAGAAACGTGAACGCTTATACACTGTTGGTGAGAATGAACATTAGTTCAGCCACTGTGGAAAGCAGTTTGGAGATTTTCCAAAAGAACTAAAAACAGAGCTACCATTGGACCCAGCAATACCATTCCTGCGTATTTAGTCAAAGGAAAATATATCATTATACCAAAAGAACACACGCACTCATGTTCATGGCAGCACTATTCACAACAGCAGAGACATAGGCCTGCCCATCAGTGGTGGATTGGATAGAGACAATGTGGAGTTCCGGCAGAGACCCGGGTGGGACGCGCTGACCATGGGCCTGCGGAGGGGCTGGGGGTTCAGGACCTCCCGCAGCCTCTGCCCTGCAGGCTCCAGGTGCCCTCGCTGTGGCTCCCCTCGCGGGCCCAGGCCTGAAGAAGCCGCGAACCTCTCTTCCCTACCCCACCTCCGTGACTGATGGCAGCTCCTCTCTCAGCCCAGACCCCGCCGGCCTCCATGTCTCCCGGCCCAGCCCTGCGGGGCCTAAACTAAGCCCCTGCCGAGCTGCTAGGATGCAGCGCATTTGAGTGGCTGCGGGCGTGGGGGGCCGGGAAGCATGGCGACCGCCCCAACTCGCAGCGGAGGCCGTTAGGGTGTGGAGGGCGCGGGAAGGTGGGTCGCCTGCCACCGGGGCGCGGGCAGATCGGACCGCTCTGTCCCAGCTGGTCGAGACCGACCTAGTCCTGACGACAGGAACAACGGCATTAACAACGGCCGGAAGGTGAGCAGTGTCCCAGACAACGACGGATAGCGGCCACCTGGCCACTGGTCTTCCTTCTCTACCAGACCTGGATGTGGGAAGAGAGAAGTGGTGGAACAGGCCACATTTGGCGTATTGGAGATGCCCACTACCCTTTGGGAAGATTTAATTACCACCGTTTATAGAAGGCCCTGCGTGTGTAAAGTGAGAAAGCGGTTCTCAACTGCCCCCGCCCCAACTTTTAAATAGAAAACATTTGCCACATTTAGCCCTTCTAGATGGAAAGAGGTTGTGATGTATGATAAAGTTAGAAAATCACACATCTTATAAATTCTCATTTGTTCAAAAAGAAATGATAGAAAATAGATGTCTTCTGGAAATGGCTTTTCGCAATGGAATTGTTGGACCACTTCTGGAAGCCATACCAGGAACGACAGACACAACCACATTTGTTCAGTGGGTTAGAGGGCATGAAGAAGAAGACCTGAGAAGGAAAAGAAGAAGGTTCTGTGCCAGACTAGTCATATTCAGAAGACATTCTCATATTCTTTCCATTGTTTTGTGTGCGTTTTATTCCCTACTACTGTATAGATCATTGACAATGCTACACTTTTTTGAAATGTCTAGTGTTTCTAGATGTTCTGAGGTGCCTGATATATGTTTAAACTAGAAGTAGTAAAATAACACATCTTGTAAGTATCTTTTTGTTAAAATTCGAATGAAACATTGTTTTAGGGGGAAGGGCCAAACCACAAGTTGAGTAATATGCATTGTATTATGCGCCAGTTCAGGAGAGGAGGAGGAGGAGGCTGTGCAGAGAGCTCTGTGCCACCAGTGTGCTTACAGTGAGGCAAGATTAACCATTATATCTTATGTTTGTGCATTTTCTTTTACTTATCTATGTATAAAGTGTATATAGAGGAAAACAAGTCCTAATTTACATCTAGTCTTTCTAGATGTTATGGAGGTTGCCAGTGAATTACAAAAGTAGAGTTAGCAAACTAATATTTTTGTACATTTTGTTTTTAAATTCCTAGGGAAGATTGTCTTCTGAAAACTTGAGCATTCTTGCCCACTGGGTTGATGGAGATGGAAAGATTTTTAGGCCAGAATGTTCACATTTGGAAGACTCCTTCAAATTATAACTATTGTTACATGTATGCAGTTTATTCAAGGCTGCAGTGTACATAGTGGACAGATTAACTTCTTACCTGAAACCGCTAGTCTATTTAGATGTTTAGAAGGGCCTGATGTATGTTAAATGTAGAGGTAGCAAAATTTCACTTTGTAAATGTCTTTTTGCTGAAATTCATAGGAAATACTGTGTTTTGGAAATTGAATTATTAAGCCATCTTTGTGAGTGGTATAGTACTGTCTATACTTGCTCAGTAGTTTAGAGGAGCTGGGACGGATGAAACTGCAAAAGGTAACATGCTAGTGTGCTCATACTTGCACATTTTCAGGCACCATTTTTCTGTATGTTTTGTGCATTGTGTTTTGCTCTGTATATAGCGCATATAATGAACAAATGAGTCCTAATTTTGCAACATCTAGTCTCTAGATGTTAAAGAGGCTGGCAGTGTATGACAAAGTACTTAGTAAAATTAGCACTTTTTGTAAGCTTTGTGTTGAAATTCATAGGAAACCTTGTCTTCTGTAAATAACTTTTGGATCTAAATTTGTTCAACCATTTCTAAAGTATGACACATGCCTATACTTGTCTACTGAAATAAAGGCAGAGAGAAGAAAGGAAGGACTACTTCAAGGCCAAAATGGTCATGTTTAGAAGATACCTCAGATTATAACTGTTGTTATGTGTGTGCAATTTTATTTAACAGTGCCATGTACATGGTGGACAAGTTATATGAAATATTTAATCTTTCTAGATATTTGGAAGTGCTTGGTGTATTTAAAAATAGAAGTAGTAGAATAACACTTTCTGTAAATATCTTTTAAAAGTAATGAGAAATACTTTTTGGAACTGGCATTGTTGAACCACCTCTGTGAACAGCGTCCTCTCTGTACATGTTCATTGGGTTGAGGGAGATTGGAAGGAAGATATTGCAAAAAGTGTCTTGCTCTTGCGATAGTTTACTGAGAATGATGATTTCCAATTTCATCCAAGCCAAACACCGCATATTCTCACTCATAGGTGGGAACTGAACAACGAGATCACATGGACACAGGAAGGGGAATATCACACTCTGGGGACTGTTGTGGGGTGGGGGGAGGGGGGAGGGATAGCGTTGGGAGATATACCTAATGCTAGATGCGAGTTAGTGGGTGCAGCGCACCAGCGTGGCACATGTATACATATGTAACTAACCTGCACAATGTGCACATGTACCCTAAAACTTAAAGTATAATAATAAAAAATAAAAAATAAAAAGTGTTTTGCTAATGTTTACTAGAAAATTTCAGCTTAATCCATTACCTATATGTTACATGCATTGCATTTAACTTTGCTATACTGTATATATTGTGTGTATACTGGATGAAGTAGTCTTAATTTTATAATATCTAGTCTAGTCTCTAGATATTAAAGAGGTTGCCAATTTATAACAATTTATGAGAGTTAGTTTACTAACTCTATTTTTGTACACTTTGTTGAAATTCATAGAAAGGCTATCTTCTGAAAAGGACTTTTGGAAGTGAAATGATAACATCAGTTCTAAATGACACATATGCCTATATCCACTAGGTTGGTGGTAGAGAGGAGTTAGAAGGAATGAAAGATTTTAGACCAGAATGTTCCTATTTAGAAGACACTTTCAGATATAACCATTGTTACCTGTGTATATAGTGGACAAATTTAAGTCCTTATTTGAAACATCTAGTCTTTCTAGAAGTGCACAAAGTATGTTAAAAGTAGAGGGAGTAAATAACACTTTGTAGATATCCTTTTGATTCATATGAAATATTGTCTTTGGGAAATGGATCAAACCACTTATCTGAGCAGTACACATTACTATATGTGTGTTGGCTCAGGGAGGAAAGAGGAGCAGAAAGGGCAAAGGGTAATTGAAATACCAGTGTGTTTATGGTGAGGCACACTTTACCATTGTCCCTTATGTCTGCATTTTCTTTTACTGTGCTGTGTATATAGTGCATATAAGTGGACAAATTAGTCCTAATTTTCAACATCTAGTCTTTGTAGATATTAAGATGTTTCTAGTGTATGACAAAAGTAGAGTTAGTAAACTACTGTACTGAGTACACTTTTTGGTAAAATTCATAGGGAAGACTGTTCTTAAAAACACAAAAGGATGAAGCCGAAGACGGCCAAATAGGAGCAGTTCTGGTTTGCAGCTCCCAGCAAGACCAATCCAGATGGCAGGTGATTTCTGCATTTCCAACTGAGGTACCCCGTTCCTCTCATTAGGACTGGTTAGGCAGCAGGTCAAACCCATGGAGGGCAAGCAGAAGAAGGGTGGGGAGTTGCTTACCCAGGAAGTTCAAGAGGCCAGGGGACCTCTTTCCCCGAGCCAGGGGAGCCATGAGGGACAGTGCTGCCTAGCTTGTTACTACACTTTTTCCATGGTTTTTGCAATCTGTAGATCAG
The DNA here is from genome assembly GCF_000001405.40 of Homo sapiens. NCBI lineage: Eukaryota > Metazoa > Chordata > Mammalia > Primates > Hominidae > Homo > Homo sapiens. Next base: position 427,768 of record NT_167248.2, on the reverse strand, counting down.
GAGATTCCCTTGTGTGCCTACACCACCAGGGCCTTAGGTTTCAAGCACAAAACTGGGTGGCCATTTGGGCAGACACAGAGCTAGATGAAGGAGTATTTTTCCTACCCTAGTGATGCCTGGAACCCCAGCGAGACAGAACCATTTACTCCCCTGGAAAGGAGGCTGAAGCCAGGGAGCCAAGTGGTCTCGCTCAGCAGGTCCCACTCCCACAGAACCTAGCAAGCTAAGAACCACTGGCTTGAAATTCTCACTGCCAGCACAGCAGTCTGAAGTCAACCTAGGACAATTGAGCTTCATGGGATGAGGGACGTCTGCCATTACTGAGGCTTTAGTAGGCCATTTTCCCTGACAGTTCCAAGGAGTCTTGGAGGTATGGACTGGCAAATTCATCACAGTGCAGCAAAGCAGCTGTGGCCAGACTGCTTCTCTAGATTCCCCCTCACTGGGCAGGGCATCTCTGAAAGAAAGGTAACAGCCCCAGTCAGAGGCTTACAGACAAAACCCCCATCTCCCTGGGACAGAGCACCTGGGGAAGAGGTGGCTGTGGGCACAGCACAAGCAGATTTAATCGTTCCTGCCTGCCTGCTCTGAAGACAGCAGCTGATCCTGACAAGAGGGATTCTCCCAGCACAGCACACCAGTTCTCTTAAGGGACACACTCCCTCCTCAAGTGGGTCCCTAACCCCCATGCCTCCTGACTGGGAGACAACTCCCAACAGGGCTTGACAGAACCTCACACAGGAGAGCTCCAGCTGTCATCAGGCCAGTGCCCTTCTGGGACGAAGCTTCCAGAGGAAGGAGCAGGAAGCAATCTTTGCTGTTCTACAGCCTCTGCTGGTGATACCCAGGCAAACAGGGTCTGGAGTACACTTCCAGCAAACTGCAGCAGACCCGCAGAAGAGGGGCCTGACTGTTATAAGGAAAACTAACAAACAGAAACAACGTCAACATCAACATAAAGGACCGTCACACAAAAACCCCATCCAAAGTCATCAGCCTCAAAGATCAAAGGTAGATAAATCCACAAAGATGAGGAAAAACTAGCATAAAAACGCTGAAAATTCCAAAAACCAGAATGCCTCTTCTACTCAAAATGATCTCAACTCCTCTCCAGCAAGGGCACAAAACTGGAGAAGGAGATTGATGAATGACAGAAGTAGGCTTCACAAGGTGTGTAATAACAAACTCCTGTGAGCTAAAGGAGCATGTTCTAACCCAATGCAAGGAAGCTAAGAACCTTGATAAAAGGTTACAGAAACTGCTAACTAGACTAGCCAGTTTAGAGGAGAACATAAATGACCTGAGGAGCTGAAAAACACAGCACGAGAACTTTGTAAGATATACACAAGGATCAATAGCCAAATCGATCAAGCAGAAGAACGGATATTAGAGACTGAAGACCAACTTACTGAAATAAGGTGTGAAGACAAGATTAGAGAAAAAAGAATGAAAAGGAACAAACAAAGCCTCCAGGAAATATGGGACTATGTGAAAAGACCAAACTTATGTTTGATTGGTTTACCTGAAAGTGACGAGAAGAATGGAACCAAGCTGGAAAACAGCTTCAGGATATTATCCAGGAGAACTTCCACAAGGTAGCAATACAGGCCAACATTCAAATTCAGGAAATACGAGAACACCACTAAGATACTGCTCGAGAAAAGCAACCCCAAGAAACGTAATTGTCAGATTCTCCAAGCTTGAAATGAAGGAAAAAAAGTTAAGGGCAGCCAGAGAGAAGGGTCAGGTTACCTATAAAGGGAAGCCCATCAGACTAACAGCATATCTCTCTGCAGAAACCCTACAAGCCAGAAGAGAGTGGGGGCCAATATTCAACATTCTTAAAGAAAAGAATTTTCAACCAAGAATTTCATCTCCAATGCGCCAAATGTGGCCTGTTGTTCCACCACTTCTCTCTTCCCACATACAGGTCTGGTAGAGAAGGAAGACCAGTGGCCAGGTGGCCGCTATCCGTCGTTGTCTGGGACACCGCTCACCTTCCGGCCGTTGTTAATGCCGTTGTTCCTGTCGTCAGGACTAGGTCGGTCTCGACCAGTTGGGACAGAGCGGTCCGATCTGCCCGCGCCCCAGTGGCAGGCGACCCACCTTCCCGCGCCCTCCACACCCTAACGGCCTCCGCTGCGAGTTGGGGCGGTCGCCATGCTTCCCGGCCCCCCACGCCCGCAGCCACTCAAATGCGCTGCATCCTAGCAGCTCGGCAGGGGCTTAGTTTAGGCCCCGCAGGGCTGGGCCGGGAGACATGGAGGCTGGCGGGGTCTGGGCTGAGAGAGGAGCTGCCATCTGTCACCGAGGTGGGGTAGGGAAGAGAGGTTCGCGGCTTCTTCAGGCCTGGGCCCGCGAGGGGAGCCACAGCGAGGGCACCTGGAGCCTGCAGGGCAGAGGCTGCGGGAGGTCCTGAACCCCCAGCCCCTCCGCAGGCCCATGGTCAGCGCGTCTCACCCGGGTCTCTGCCGGAACTCCACATTGTCTCTATCCAATCCACCACTGATGGGCACCTAGGTTGGTTCTATGTCTCTGCTATTGTGAATAGTGCTGCCATGAACATGAGTGCGTGTGTCCTTTTGGTATAATGATATATTTTCCTTTGACTAAATACGCGGTAATGGAATTGCTGGGTCCAATGGTAGCTCTGTTTTTAGTTCTTTTGGAAAATTCTCCAAACTGCTTTCCACAGTGGCTGAACTAATGTTCATTCTCACCAACAGTGTATAAGCGTTCGCGTTTCTCTGCAGCCTCCGCAATATCTGTTGTTTTTTGACTTTTAAATAGCAGCCATTCTGACTGGTGTGAGATGGAATCTCATTGTGGTTTTGATTTCCGTTTCTCTGATGATTAGTAATGATGAACAATTTTTTCCATATGTTTATTGGTCACCTTTATGTCTTCTTTTGAGAAGTGTCTGTTCATCCTTTGTCATTTGTTAATTTTTTAATGGGGTTATGTTTGTTGATTTAAGTTCCTTATAGATTCTGGATATTAGACCTTTGTTGTGTGCATAGTTTGTGAATCTTTTCTCACCTTCCGTAAGTTGTCTGTTTATTCTATTTATAGTTTCTTTTGCTGTGCGGAAGCTCCTTAGTTTAATTTGTATTTATGGATAGTAAAGATAACTAGCATTTGAGTTTGTATAAAGATAAGATGATAAGTATTGAGTTGAGGTGAAGCAACTAATGTCACAGAAGTTAGAAATATTTTGCCACATTGTAAGCTCTATTTGACTTTTGACTTTGTGTAGTAGATATAGATAGCATGAAAGCCTTAATTTTTCGCTTTTCTTGCTAGTAAGGTTATGTTTGCTTAGAGTGACCATTTAAAGTGTGTTTAACATAACATTACTGTTGAAAAACATTCCATTACATGTCCACAAGCAAATTAACTGCACATTTTAAATTGTATTTTACAATACAGTACAAATATTTTAGACCTCAATCTTATCTTCAATTCACTGGTATTTTAAGTTTTGCAATGAATATGAAGTTACTTTTTAGCTTACAGACTCCTTGTATTGTTATTTAAAATGCTTGTTACTATTGTAGGAAGGTTGAAGGCTTCATCTTTTTTTGAGTTAATATTTAAATTCTTATTACTTACTTTGATAGTCTCTAATTAAAAAAAGTAGTATGCAGGCAATTAAACAAATCAGTATATGCATTCAAGAATTTAAAACAATTTTACATTTTGTCATCATTGGGATTAAATTTTGGCCGGGTGTTCACTTTCAATATATATGTATGAACAATTTAATTATGAAGTGAAATAGTCTTAAGTCTGATATATGATGCACCCGCATATAAATTAAAATGGCACACACAAAGACACTTTACTATGGGAACTGTATTGGAAGATTTATGAAATTTTAGGTAAAATTGAACCTAAAATTTTGTTATTAGTGACTATAAGTAGCAATGCTTAATTTATTGTACTTGATGAATGAATGTATTTAGGTTAGCCATAGTTACTTTGGTTTAAATGTCGAAATCATGTCTTTATTTTAAAAATGTATTTGTAATTTGTACTATCAACGGGGGATATTATTGGACTGCAGAGGTTGTGGCAATGTGTGATTTGTGTTTCCTTATTTTATAGAATTATCTAATGTGATATACTAGTTTTTACAGGTAATATTTAGATATTTCTAATAATTGTATATTTGACAACCTACTAAAATGCTTTGCATTGGAAAGAAAATGAAAAACTATATGCAGACGTAGGCTGCCTGTAAGAGGTTCACTTTAACTTGAAGAACACACATTGATTGAAAAAATTATTTCATGCAAGTGGAAAGCAAAAGACAAGGGTAGCTGTACTTTTATGAGATGAACTTTAAGTCCAAAACTGTTAAAAGAGACAAAGAAGGTCATTATGTAATGATAAAAGGGTCAATTCATGAAAAGGACTTAACAATTGTAAATATATATGCACCTAATATAAGATCACCTATACATATAAAGAAAGCATTAGTAGACCTGAAAAGAGATAGACTGCAATACAATAATAGCAGAGGATTTCAATACTTTACTTTCAACAGTGGATATATCATCTAGACAAAAATCAATAAGGAAACACTGGACTTGACATACACTTTAGACCAAGTGGACCTAACAGACATATATAGAACATTCCATCCAACAGCAACAGAATATTCATTCTTCTCAAGTGCAAATGGGACATTATCCAAATAAGGTAACAAAATAAGACTCAACAGTTTTAAGAAGACTGAAATCATATCAAGTATCTTTTCTGACCACAAAAGTATGAAAGTAGAAATGAATAGAAATAAATAATACGATAAAATTTGAAAATATTACATACGTGGAAATTAACCAACACGCTCTTGAATAAACAAAGGGTTAATGAAGAAATCAAAAGGGAAATTAAAAAATATCTTAAGACAGATGAAAATGAAAATGCAACGTACCACAACTTATGGGATGTAACAAAAGAAGTTCTTAGCAGGAGGAAAGTTTATAGTAATAAATGCCGATATTAAAAAAGAAGAAAGATCCCAAACAAACAACCTAATGTTACATTTCAAGAAGCTAGAAAAAGAGAAGAGCAAACTAATCCCAAAGTTAGCAGAAGGAAGGAAATAACAAAGATCAGAGCAGAAATAAGTAAGAGACTAGAAAACAAAAGAACACATTTGCAAAACTAACAGTTCAGTTTTTGAAAAGATAAAAACAATTGACAAAACTTTAGCAGACCAACTAAGAAAAAAAAGAAGACTCTAACAAAATAAGAAATGAAAGAGGAGACATTAAAATTGAAACTACAGAAGTACAAAAGATCATAAAAGAATACTGCGAACAATTTTACACCAACAAATAGGATGACCTAGAAGAAATGGTTAGATTTCTAGAAACATAACAACAATGAATCATGAAAAAATAGAAAATCTGAATCAGTTAATCCAGGAGGTGGATTTTGAAAAGATCCACAAAATTGATGGACTGCTAGCAAGACTAATAATGAAGAAAAGAGAAAAATCAAATAGATCTATTAAAAAATAATAAAGGAGATATCACTACTGATCCCACAGAAATACAAATTCTCTTTTTTTTTGTTGTGTCTCTGACAGGCTTTGGTATCAGGATGATGCTGGCATCATAAAATGAGTTAGGGAGGATTCTCTCTTTTTCTATTGATTGGAATAGTTTCAGAAGGAATGGTACCAGCTCCTCCTTGTACCTCTGGTAGAATTCGGCTGTGAATCCATCTCGTTCTGGACTTTTTTTGGTTGGTAGGCTATTAATCATTGCCTCAATTTCATAACCTGTTAGTGGTCTATTCAGAGATTCAACTTCTCCCTGGTTTAGTTTTGGGAGGGTGTATGTGTCCAGGAATTTATCAATTTCTTCTAGATTTTCTAGTTTATTTCCATAGAGTTGTTTATAATATTTTCTGGGAAAACTGGCTAGCCACCATGTAGAAAGCTGCAACTGGATCCATTCCTTACACCCTATACAAAAATTAATTCAAGATGGATTAAAGACTTAAATGTTAGACCTAAAACCATAAAAACCCTAGAAGAAAACCTAGGCAATACCATTCAGGACACAGGCATGGGCAAAGACTTCGTGACTAAAACACCAAAAGCAATGGCAACAAAAGCCAAAATAGATGCATGGGATCTAATTAAACTAAAGAGCTTCTGCACAGCAAAAGAAACTACCATCAGAGTGAACAAGCAATGTACAGAATGGGACAAAATTTTTGCAATCTACCCAATTAACAAAGGGCTAATATCCAGAATCTACAAAGAACTTAAACAAATATACAAGAAAAAAATAAACAACCCTATCAAAATGTGGGCAAAGGATATGAACAAACACTTCTTGAAAGAAGACATTTATGCAGCCAACAGACACATAAAAAATGCTCATCATCACTGGTCATCAGAGAAATGCAAATCAAAACCACAATGAGATACCATCTCATACCAGTTAGAATGGCAATCATTGAAAAGTCAGGAAAGGACAGATGCTGGAGAGGATGTGAAGAAATAGGAACACTTTTACACTGTTGATGGGAACGTAAATTAGTTCAACCATTGTGGAAGACAGTGTGGTGATTCCTCAAAGATCTAGAACTAGAAATACCATTTGACCCAGTGATCCCATTACTGGGTATATACCCAAAGGATTATAAATCATGCTATTATAAAGACACATGGACACATATGTGTATTGTAGCACTATTCATGATAGAAAAGACTTGGAATGTCCATCAATGATAGGCTAGATTAAGAAAATGTGGCACATATACACCATGGAATACTATGCAGCCACAAAAAAGGGTGAGTTGATGTCCTTTGCAGGGACATGAATGAAGCTGGAAACCATCATTCCCAGCAAACTATCACGAGGATAGAAAACCAAAGACCACATGTTCTCACTCATAGGTGGGAATTGAACAATAAGAACACTTGGACACAGGATGGGGAACATCACACACTGGGGCCTGTTAGAGGGTGGGGAGCTGTGGGAGGGATAGCATTAGGAGAAATACCTAATGTAAATGACAGGTTGATGGGTGCAGCAAACCAACATGGCACATGTATACCTATGTAACAAACCTGCACATTGTGCACATGTACCTTAGAACTTAAAGTATAATAAAAATATTTTTAAAAAGATATTTGTTTTTTGCACCAGCTATACATCAGAACAGAATCTGGTGACTAAGAGGCTAAGAAACAGGGCTTATATGATTTTACATTTCTGGGGAGACAAATAATGGAAATTTTGGCCCATATAAATACCCAAGACTTTCAGCTAGAATGGGTGAATGGCTGCAACCTATGAATAACCATAGACTGAATATAGGCCAGCCCTAAAAATGACTGCAATCTAGAGTATATAATCACCTTTGCTGATGATAGCATATGCAAAATAAACTACATAATTTAAAGTATGCAAGTCAGTATTTTTATAGTTGTATATACCCATGATACCAATACCTCAATCAAGGTAGAGAACATTTCCATCACTCTCCAAAATCTATTTTGTCTTTTGATTTCAGACTTAGTCAACTACTACTCTAATTTATGCCCTCATAGATAAGTTTGCATGTTCTTGAATTCTTAGTGATAGATCTACATAGTGTGTATTATTTTGAGTCTTGCTTTCTGCATTCAGCAAAAATATTTTGAAATTCATCTAAAATGGTTGCAGGCCAGCACATTGTTTTGTTTTCATTACTAGTAATGTTCAATAATAAGGATATAGTATAATTTATTCATTACATCCGTTGACAGATACTTACAGTAATTCTAGGTTTTCGCCACAGTATTTTGAAAAAAGTGGCTATAAATATTCAGCACAGGTCTTCATTTGAGCAAATGTTTTTACTTCTCTTGAACAGATATTTAAGAGTTGAATGAATGGGCCATAAGGTATGTGTAACTTTTAAAGAAACCACAAAACAGTGTTCCAAAGTGTCTGTGTCATTTTACGCTCCTACCAGCAATGTATGTCCCAATTCTATCCACCCCATTCAAAATTAGGGATGTTTTCCTACTTTAATTACTTCCCAAAAGCAAAAATAAATTCTATCTAGAGGAGGATAACAACATTCCAAACTTTTAAAAAGTATATATTGTATAAATTGTATATATATAGAGTATAAATATGTATATATTGTATAAATAAATTGTGTAAAAAGTATGTATGTATATATTGTATAAATAAAAAGTACATATTGTATCAATTGTCATTTTGAAATAGATGCTGGAGAAATGGAGGAAAGAAGAGGTTATTAACTATTTCAATAATGCTCATTCTATCACTACCAAACCTGTCCTATGAGAACTGCTAAAGGAAGTTCACCAAACTGAAAGAATGTTAATGTGATTGTCATACTAAAAATGAAGTCATTATATTTAAACCACTTACCTATTTAGTAAGAAAACTAAAAACAATTTAAAATAATAACTACAACAATTTTTAAGAGATAGGCAATATAAAAAATGTAAATTGCAACATCAAAATTCAAAATATGGGTGAAGAATGGAGTTAATGTGTATAAGTTTTTAGTTGGAAGTTTGTTTTTATTTATGAGAGCAAAGTTAAGTTGCTATCAGTTTTATACTACATGTTATATTATAGGATACTTTTCGTAAGCCTCATGGACACCACAGTGCAAAAACTTATAATGGATACACTAACAATAAAAAGCAACAAATTAAAACATACTACCAGAGGAAAATAACAAGGAAAAAAGGAAAGAAGGAAGGAAGGAAGGAAGGGGAAGGGGAAGGGGAGGGAGAGGGGGAAAGAGAGAAAGAGAGGAAGGCAGGAAGGAAGGAAGGAAAGGAAGGAAGGAAGGAAGAGAGGAATTACGAAATTAGAAAACAAGTAACAAAATGGCAGTACTAAGGCATGAACTATCAAAAATAAAATTGAATGTAAACAGACTACATTCTATTTAAAAGACATACAATGGTTAAATGAATTAAAAACAAGACCAAATTATATGCTGCCTGCTGCCTGCCAGAAACTCTTCAATAAATAGTGCTGGCATAGCAGGCTAGCCATATGTAGAAGACTGGAATTGAACCTGTTCCTTTTACCATACACAAAAATAAACTCAAGATAGATTAAAGACTTAAATGTACAACCCAAATGTATAAAAACAATAGAAGAAATTCTAGGAAATACCATTCTGGACATCGACTTTCACGAAGACTTCAAGACGAGGACTCCAAAAGCAATCACAACAAAACCAAAAATTGACAAATAGAATATAATTAAACTAAAGAGCTTCTGCATAGCAAAAGAAACTATCAACGGAATACACACACAACTTACAGAATGGGAGAAAATATTTGCAAACTATGCATCTGGCAAAGGTCTAATATCCAGAATCTATAAGGAACTTAAACAAATAAAAAAGTGAAAAACAAACAACTCTATTTTTAAAACGAGCAAATGGCATGAACAGACACTTCTCAAAAGAAGATATACACATCTAACAAGTATATTAAAAAGTTCAATATCACTAATCACCAGAGAAATGCAAATCAAAACCACAATGAGATATTGTCCCACACCGGTCAAAATGGCTACTATTAAAAAGTTAGGAAATAACATTTGCTGGTGAGGTGGTGGAGAAAAGGGAACATTTATATACCACTGGTGGAAATGAAAACTAGTTCAGCCACTGTAGAAAGAAGTCTGGAGATTTCTCAAATAACTTAAAATAGAACTACCACTTGATCCAGCAATCCCATTACTAGGTGTATAACCAAAGTAATATAAATCATTCTGCCATAAAGCAATATGCATGCAGATTTTCAGTGCAGCACTATTTACAATATCAAAGTCACAGAATCAACCTAGTTGTCCATCAGTGGTGGACTGGATACAGAAAACATATATACCACAGAATACTATGCAGCTATAAAAAACGAGACTTTGGTCTTTGCAGTAATAGGGATGGAGCTGGAAGCTATCATCCTAAGCAAATTGGTGAAGGAATGGAAACCCCAGTATGGCATGTTCTCACTTATAATTGGGAGTTAAATATTGAGTACATAAGGACACAAAGAAAAGAACAATAGAAACTGGGGCCTATGATGGGGGAGGTGAGGATCAAAACCAACCCATTGGTTACCACACTTATTACATGGGTGACAAAATAATCTGTACACCAAACCCATGTGACACACAATTTACCTATATAACAAACCTGCACAGGTACCCTGAACCTAAAATTAAAGTTTAAAAAAAAAGAAAAGCTACTTAATGGGTATAATGCTAATTCCCTGGGTGACAAAATTATCTGTACACCAAACCCCCATAACAAAAAATTTACTGATGTAACAAACCTGCACATGTACCACTTGAACCTGAAATACGTTGTGCACATGTACCCTAAAACTTAAAGTATAATAAAAAAAATTAAAAATAAAAAAAAGCAAAAAAAAAAATTGGAAAGAAAAAAAAGAACCTCACTTCACCTATAGAAACACACAAAGAATGCAACACCAGTGTCTAGCAAGAGAAGGATGGATAAAGAAAATGTAATATATATACATGATGGAATATCATTCAACCATAAAAAATAATGAAATCCTTTCATTAGTAGCAACATGGATAAAATTGGAAGTCATTATGTTAAGTGAAATAAACCATGAACAGAAATACAAATATATCATGTTCTCACTGGTATGCAGGAGCTAAAAAAAGTGGATCTTATGAAGGTCAAGGGTAGAATGGTGCTTATCAGAGTCTGCAAATGGATGCAAGGAAAAACAGATGAAAAAGAGTTTGTTAGTGGGTACAAAAATAGAGTTAGATACAAGGAATAATTTTTAGTATTTGATAATACAGTAGAGAAAATACAACTAACATTTATTAATATTAGCATAACATATATTGTATATTTCAAAATAGCTAGAAAAAAATTGTAATTTTCACAACACAAAGTGTTTGTGGTGATAGATATTATAATCACTCTGATTTAATCATTACACATTGTATATGTGTAAGAAAACACATCTACCCCAAAATATGTACAACTATAATATATTGAAAAATTAAATAAATAAATAAATATAGTGCTCATTTTAGAAAACCAATCAATGATGCCTAAAAGAGGGACTAATGTGTAAATATAAGCATCAAAACAAAAAAAATCAAATCTCCTGAAATACCAAAATACCAAAAAAGAATGAAAAGTGAAATATTTTATATACCTTTTATAAAGATATATGTATAAACTTATAAAGATATGTCTTTAATTTACCTGGCTGGGGCTTTTTGGAAGACTTCATTCATGAGTCTGTCTGTATTTGACCATGACTCAGACCTCGACCAATGCAAAAAGCATTTTCTCAGCAGGTATTTGTTGAAAATAATTTCAAGTGACTGCTTTAACTTCACTTCTGACTAAAGCAATTGATAAAAGTTGGGGCAGACCATAAAGCAATAAAAGAGCTTAAAAAATGTAAGGAATGGGATGTCTATAGGGATTTTGAAAATCTTTGCCATATGCCAGGAATTTCATGTATATGCATATGGCTGTGTTCAGATTCAGGACTCTATAAATGCTCAAGCAAGAACTGAGAAGATTCTAAACTCTTGTCTCTGGCTGACCTTCAGTATTTCAGGAAGAAGTAAGTGGAGGCTAAGGTAGAGATGTGAACTGCCTGACTAGGTGTCAGAGTCATGCCTCAATATGAACATAGAGGTCTTTGACAGAAACTGGAAGATTTATTAGTCCCAGGCATTGAAAGAAATTTCTGTCCAATTATTTGCTGGCCACTAGACTACCTGAGTACAGATTTTAATGGCCCTACACCACAAAGAAGGCAGACTTTAGAGAATTATTTGGGAGTATTCACTAAACAAGCAAGCAACAACTACATTAATAAGCAGCAACAACTACATTAATAAGCAGCAACAACAAATTCTAGTGAGACAGGGAGAATCTGGTTTCCACAGTTGCCATTTCTAGTATTTAAAATATTTAGTTTTCCAAATTTATAAGAAAGAAAAACAACCCCATTAAAAAGTGAGCAAAGAACATGAGCCGACAGTTTTCAAAAGAAGACATACATGCAGCCAACAATCATATGAAAAAAGCTCAACATCACTGATCATTAGAGAAATGCAAATCAAAACCACAAGGAGATACCTTATCACACCAGTCAGAATGGCTATTATTAAAAAGTCAGAGAAGAACAGATGCTGGGAAGGTTATGGAGAAAAACAAACATGTATACACTGTTGGTGGGAGTGTAAATTAGTTCAACCATTGTGGAAGGCATTGTGGCAATTCCTCAAAGTTCTAAAGACAGTAATACCATTTGACCCACCAATCTCATTACTGGGTAAGCACCCAAAGGAATATAAGTTGTTCAATTGTGAAAACACATGCATACATATGTTTATTGGAGCACTACTCACAATAGCAAAGACATGGAATCAACCTAAATGCCCATCAATGATAGACTCGATAAAGAAAATGTGGTACATACACACCGTGGAATACTATGCAGCCATAAAAAAGAATGAGATCATGTCCCTTTCAGGAACATAGATGGAGTTGGAGGCCATTATCCTTAGCAAACTAACACAGTAACAGAAAATTGAATACCACATGTTCTCACTTGTAACTGGGAGCTAAATGATGAAAACATATGGACACATAGAGGGAAACAATACATACTGTGGCCTGGTGGAGGGTGGAGGATGGGAGGACAGAGAGGATCAGGAAAAATAACTAATGGATGCTATGCTTAATACCTGGGTGATGAAATAATCTCTACAACAAACCCCCATGACCTGCGTATGTACCTTTGAACTTAAGATAAAAGTTTTAAAAATAAAAATAAATGAAATGAAGTATCTAGTTTTCAACATAAAATTATAATACAAGTGAAGAAAGACACAGGAAGTATGGGTCATAAAAGGAGGGGGAAATGCAATCAATAGCAGCAAATCTAGGTGTTGAACTTGTTGGACAAAGGCTTACATCAGCTACTTTAAAAATAGGGTCAAAGAGCTGAAATAAACCATGTTTAAAGAACTAAAGGAAGATATGACAACTATTTCTCACTAAATAGAGAAAATTATTAAAGAGATAGACATTATTTGTTGTTAAAGAACCAAGTCAAATTCTAGAGATGAAAAAGTACAGTGATGGAAATAAAAAATGCAGCAGAAGACCTGAACACCAGATTTTAACAAGCAGAAGGAAGAATCAACAAACTACAAGATAGGTCAATTGAGATTATCTAGTCAGAGTAATAAAAAGAAAAAAGAATGAAGAAAAATAAAACAGCCTAAAGAAATCTGAGACATTATCAACCATAGCAAACCACTGAAAACATCAGATGTTGACAAAGAGATAAATAACAGGAACTCTCATTCACTGATTACAGAAATCCAAAAGTGTACAACCACTCTAGAGGACAACTGGACAGTTTCATACAACACTAAACATCTTAACCATAGAATCCAGCACTCACGTGTCCTGGTATTAACCCAAATAATCTGAAACGTTATGTCCACACAGAACCTGTACACAAATGTTTGCAGTAGCTTTATTCCTAATTTCCAAAGCTTGGAAGCAAAAAAAAAAAAAAGTCCTTTAATAAATGAATGAATAAGCAGACTGTGGTACATTCATAGAATGGAATATTATTCAATTATAAAAAATGAGTTGTAAAGCCCAGACCTGGAAGAAATTTAAATGCATATTACTAAGTCAAAGAAGCCAGTCAGAAAAGTCTATATTATATATGATTTCAATTGTATGATATTCTGGAAAAAGCACAGTTATGGAAACAATAAAAAATCAGTGGTTGTCAGGGGCTCCCGGGGAGGAGGGGAGGAAATGATGAATGGAAGGAGAACAGGGAATTTTTAAGGCAGTGAAACCATTCTTTATGATACTGAATGGGGGAATACATGTTATTAAACATTTGTCAAAACCCATAGAATGTAAAACACACACCATCAACCCTAATGTAAACTATGGAATTTGGTTACTAATAACGTATTAATATTGGCTTATCAATTATAACAAATGTACCACATGAATGCAAGTTGTTAATAATAAAAGAAACTCTGGGGGAGGGAGTAAAAGGGGTTACATGTGAGTTCTCTACACCTTCCATTCAATTTTTTGTAAACCTAAAGCTTCTGAAAAATAGTCTATTCATTTAAAAAATGGAAGAGATTCACAAGGTTTATTTAAAAAGACAATCCAATGATATACTGTCAACAATATATTCACTTTAGATTCAAAAATGCAAATAGGTTGAAACTGAAAAGATGAAAAAAGTATTCCATTCAAAGAGTAAGCAAGATAGAGTGCTAATGGATGGCTATACTGATATTACACAATATCAACAAAAAGACAAGAATTATTACTGGAAACAAAGAAGGACAATTTATGATGATAAAATCGCTGGTCCATCAAGAAGATACATCAATTATAAGTACATATGCACCTTGCAGCAGATCTCCAAACTACATAAAACAAAGACTAACAGAACTGTTTGGAGCAATAGATAATTCCATAATTATAGTTCAATGTCAGCATCCCACTTTCAATAACAATAGAACAATTAGATAAAGGTCCACAAGGAAATAGAAGATGTGAACAGCATTATAAACTAACTACAGCTAATTGACCTCTACAGAAAACTCCACCCAATAGTAGTAGAATACATATATTACTCAGGGCACATGAAACATTCTACAGATTAGTCTATAAGGTCATAAAGCAAATCACAATACATTTAAAAGATTAAAATAATGTAAAGGATGTCCTCTAACCACAATGGAATAAAATTAGAAATCAATATCAGGCAAAATATTGTGAAATACACAAGTAAGTGGCGATGAAACAACACATTCCTAAATAATGAATGGCTCAGAGGAAATCACAAGGGAAAATAGCAAATAATTTGCAAAGAATGAAAATAGAAACACAACATACCAAAGTTTATGGAATTCAGCAAAAGTAGATAAGCTAGAGATGTGTTTAAAAGAAAAAAATTCCTTTATCAGTCATTGTCTCTGAAATGACAAAAAGTGTGTGTGCGTGTGTGTGCGTGTACATATGTATGTAAAAATCAAGTAACAATATGTTCAAGATGATTTAATTGTATTATTTAAGTTGCTATTGTCAAAAACTATGCATACTAGAGGGGGAGACTTCAAAAGCAAAATAACTAAGAAAGCTTTCATTCTTTTGCAGAAAATTAAAAGAGAATATGATATAGAGATACTGTGTAGTATATTCATATTAGATATTCCTTCTTAGGTGACATTTGAGATCAACCTGAAACACAGAAAGGAGCTAGTCATGATAAAATCAAAGAAAGAGCATTTTAGACCTAAAAACATCTAATTCAAAAGTCCTAAAGCAGGAAATGACCTTTGTTTGTAATGGAAAGTTACAGTCACCTATGGTCCCAGCAGAAAATAGATGGCATGCTCCTATGGGAACTGAAAGAGGTTTAACAAAAGAAGTAAATACAAAGTTGTGAGAAGGATTTAGGAACATCAACAAGGGATTTCTGTATATGTATTATATATGGACTACTCTGAATCTAGCAACAGTTGGGAGGCTTAGCAACCAACACAAGGCCTGAAGTAGCAAAGGGAGAAAGTACTATTACAAAGCAGAAAGAGAGAGAACCTGTACGTGGCTACATCCATGACCTGTGATCTTTGGTTGAGCAATACAAGTAGCCTCATTTGTCCCATCTGAAGGAGAGGGTAGGGGAAAATACTTCAAACTAGCTGCTGCCTCACTCTAATCCTCAGCTGGTGACTCATTGGCTGAACACAACCAGAAGTCAAATATCATGGAATTCTCTTGATTTCGCCTCTAGAGGCACAACACAGGGTAGAAACAAACATGGTTGGATAGAGAGTGAATCTGGGGCAGGGGAAGGAAGGGGGAGTGGAAAATATCCAGCACATATGTAATGTGGAAAGATGCACACCCTTATGACACTAACGGTTACCTTTAAAGAAAGGAGAGGGACAACAGACCATGACAGTAGGTCATCAAAGGGAATGCCTGTAATCCCAGCCACTTGGGAGGCTGCGGCAGGAGAATCGCTTGAACTGTACAGCAGAGGTTGCAGTGAGCTGAGATCATACCACTGCACTCCAGACTGGGCAACACAGCAAGACTCCATCTTAAAAAAAAAACCCTTTAAATTTGTATTTGCTATCCCATGCACTTGAATTTGTTTTTCAACATAATGTATTTATGCATTTTGTATGTAATTTTTAAAATCTCAAAGTTATCTGTGTATCTGCCTAATGTTATGTGGTATGTGCTTGGTGAGAGTGAAGAAATTATCATTTCATCATTTTAATATGAAAGCATTAAATATTATGAAATGTTTTAAACTATCACTTGATTCCTTCTCATTGGAAATATCTTTTTATTATCTTTCTTCCTTTTCAACTCATTTTTGTGCCCCTTTATTCTTACAACTAGAAATGATTAAATTTTATGTGAGGTAGTCTAGAAGTTAATGAGGTAAGGTATTCAGGGAATTCTCATTTAAGTTCCCCAGAATCATTTATTCAAACTAGCTCATCTCTAATTGCATCTCATTTAAAATTAGTGTCTACTGTTTTGGGAAATTGAGTAAATGTATTTTAAAACACATCTGACAACAGAAGAGACTTCCTACCAACCTCAGTTCAGTAGGAAACTAATTGTACATAAGTAGCATTTCCATAGAGATCTCTGTCCCAAGGAATTTTCTCTGCTAACTCCTCATCTGGGATAAGGATTAATGGCCTGTTGGAAAACAATGCCCAAGAGGTCTCAGGAAGAGCTTACAAATAACACATCCACAAAGCATTCTGATATTTTCTACTATTGTCTTCCTAACCCATGTTTTCTTCTCTTTGGAACCCTGTAACAATTGAAAACCTAAGTTGTGAAGCTAATTCTTAAATACTCATGTATACTACAGTTTATCCATCCTCTGAACGTTTGAAAAATTCAAGTGTATTCCTTCATAATTCCTTTTTATTGAAAGATATTTATCAAAAGGTGAGTAAAAAGGCACGTTTTCAAGTCCATGCATTCTTAGGGAAATTGAAATATGTGTAGATCATACTGCCACTGCCTAATATACATCTGAAAGGCAGAGAGCATTTCATTTCAGGGAGCCTTTTCTAACCTTTGGAAACAGCTGCTCAGTGGTTCTAAGAAGCAACTAGATTTCTCTTTGTAATTAATCTATCTCTCAATCTCTCACTGAAACCAAATTTAAAAACATTAAACCCATTTAAAATCATTATGATTTTAAATTTGGTTTCAGTGAGAGACTGAGAGGGAGATTTATACACTATATCTGAGAAATATTAAATGCCCAAAACAAATATGAAGCCTTCTTTCAATCAGGTGGATTTTTAGAATATATGTTCAAAATTGGATGGATTGATTTGTCTGTGTGTTTCATGCAGATTCCTAATGTCAGATAAAAATAACTTTTATTTCTTCTTATGATCTTTTACTATATAGAAAGTCTACAAGTGCAGTACATATAAAGAAAATATTGTGTATGGTAAAAATGAAGTATAAGCTACACTAGAATGAAGATGGAAGTGGAGATAAAACAGGAGACATCAACAGGAATAGGGTCTGGTACTTTATTTATCTTTTTTAAGTGAAAGCAAGTTTATTCAGAAAGTAAAGGAGTAAAAGAATGGCTGGCTACTCCATAGACAGAGCAGCCCCAAGGGCTGCTGGTTGCCCATTTTTATGGTTATTTCTTGATGATATGTTAAACAAGGGGTGGATTATTCATGCCTCCCCTTTCTAGAACATACAGGGTAGCTTCCTGATGTTACCATGGCATTTGTAAACAAATGTACTCTACCATATAGGGCAACTTCCTGACGTTGTCATGGCACTGATGGGAGTGTAGCAGCGAGGATGACCAGTGGTTACTCTCATCGCCATCTTGTTTTTGGTGGGTTTTGGCCATCTTCTTTAGAGTAATCTGTTTTATCAGCAAGGTCTTTATGACCTGTATCTTGTACTGACTTTCTGTCTCATCCTGTGACTTAGAATGCCTTAACCATCTGGGAATGCAGCCCAGTAGGTTTCAACCTCATTTTACCCAGCTGCTATTCAAGATGGAGCTGCTCTGGCTCACATGCCTCTGACATTTCCTCCCTCCCCTTTACAAGAGAACCCTTAATCCTAAGGGTTGGAGAGGGACAAAGATCCATCTCCTTCTGTAGCTTCTTCAGGCTTAAGAGGAGCAATGATATTCCTGCCTAACAATTAGAGTCTCTCGTATTTGGGGTAGAGAGGAGCTCGTCAAAAAGCATTGGTATGATGAGAGCCATTCATAACTCTGAGTTTCAACAAGAGGTGCTATCTGAAAGATTGATAAGTGTTCCATTTAAGAAAACATTCACTAAGCATATTCTGCATCCGTATGCAAAGAGTACAAATGCAATGTATTCCACAGCAGCAAAGCAAAATAAGTAAAATTATTCCAGGTAAACTAAATTTAAAGGCTTCCCATGAACTGAGCAACTGTTAAAACCAAGCTGATACAGGGTTGCCAGATGATTCCAATATGTGCCCATGATTAGAATATTGGTCCAGATTTTTACATTACCCAAACCTCTTGTATCTTCTGAGTAACAGTCTAAGATCACTGGTTGGTTCACAGGAATAAGCAGGTTTAGCCTAAATTGTAGAAACAAACTTAAAAACAACTCATGAGACTAGAATTTAATAACAAGTGTACCATACTTCTTGAAACATAATTTTTCTCACTTCAGTTTCTCATTTTTACTGAAGACAAATTATGATAAGACTGATTTACTTTATTGCACTTGGCCTGATTATTTGTATAAAGTGGAACAAGAATAATTATTTTATACATTACCAAAATTTCTTTGTCAATCACGTTTTTGCCAGTGGCTGTGGTAACGAGTTTTGTCATACACAGACAATTGTCTTGTTTTAATCCTCTTCAAAAGGTGGTTTATAGTCAGCTATACAACTCTAACGGATGTTCTTAAATGCAGGTTTCTGATAACTTTGGAAATTGTGACATTAGAATAGAGGAAACAACTTTTGCAACTCTCGTGAAGAACAGGAATGTTCATGAATATCAAACAGAACAGGAGTTAACTGCATAAACTAAACTAAAAGAATAAACTAATCTTTTTGACTTTGCTTAAAACGTTGCTAACCCTTTGTTTTGTTTTCCAGAGTTAAGAAAACTTTTACTTTGAGCTATTTACAGCCTTTAGCAATTGAGTAAAGTATACTTCTGTGGAAAAAAAAAAATGGACCATATTTGTTTCTCTCTACCTGATTTCTCCAGAATTTGGAGACTATTTGTGAGTATTCTTAACTGATGGCAATATATTTATTTGCATAAGTGCAATAAGAATCTGTTTTTTTTTTTTTGTAGCCGGACACAGTTGGAGAAATTGGTTATTTTACCAAGGCTTTGACTGGAATGGTGTGTTTTCCTTTAAGGAATGAAACTTGACTTATAGAGCCAATAAAAACCCCTTGGGGAACTGACCTTCTACCTTGCCTACACAGTCCCTATACAGGGTTTCTGGCCTGTGGTAAGTAAAGAATGTCATTTTCTAACATTCCAAGGATTCCTGCTTTATCTTGGGACCCCATGAGGAGAGGAATTTACTCAACTCATGGGTCTGGCACTTTAATAAAGTGGCTTTAAACATTTGTGATTAAGTAAATCCCCATGTAGTAAAATAGTGATGAAACATTTCTTGAAGTATAAGATCCAAAAGACAGATAAAATCCCAAAGCTAAAAGAAATAAAATACAAGAATGACATGAGAAAAAAATATGAGATCTAAGAATAGAATTACAGAGCTTAAATATACTTCAAAATTAAATCACATTGATTAGTCATTCCTAGTCTGATGTCTTCAGGGAAATGTCCAGAGAAATGGAGGAGCTCTGGGTGACCACCACTCACAGACAAAATATACTTAATAAAGTTAATAACAAAATCCCAAATAATATAAATTTAATAAAATTGCGGAAGACATACTGGAGTGAATATTGTCATTAAAGGTAGTTATAATTAGTTATAATTATGGAAGAATTCATGGAGGATCAAATCTAAAATTGCTTTTTAAAAAATTCAAGGATGGTCCCTGGTAGAAAAAATATAAAAGGTGAACATAACAATGTTAAATAAAGATAGCAGGTATCTAATAGTGAAATTATTTAATAATGTAATTTGCAATTCTCAGAATACAGGCATGCACCACATAATGACATTTTCATCAATGACTGACCATGCATGTGTTCAACAGTGGTCCCATAAGATTACAATGGAGCTAAAAAATTCCTGTTGCCTAGTGACACTGTATCCATGATAATGTTATAATGTAACACATTACTCAAGTGTTTGCAGTGATGACGGTATAATCAAACCTGCACTGCCAGTCATATAAAAGAATAACACATAAAATTGTGTGCAGTACATAATACTTGATGATGATAAATAAATATGTTACTGGTTTATATTTTTGCTATACTATACTTTTTATGATTTTTTATACTCCTACTTATTTTTAAAAAGTTAACTGTAAAACAGCCTCACACAAGTCTTTCAGCAAGTATACCAGAAGAAGATATTGTTATTATAATCATAGGAGATGACAGCTCCATGCATGTTATTGCCCCTGAAAACCTTCCAGTGGGACAAGGAGCTGGAAGACAATGATATTGATGATCCTGACCCTGTGTAGGCCTGGGCTAATGTGTGTGTTTGTGTCTTCATTTTTAACAAAAAAGTTAAAAAACTTAAAAAAATAGAAATAATTTATAGAATAAGGATATAAACAAAGAACATACTTTTGTACAGCTGTATGATGGGTTTAAGTGTTATTCAATAATCAAAAAGTTAAAGAAATTAAGAAGTTTATGAAGTAAAAATGTTACAGTTAGCTAAAATGAATTTATTATTAAACAGAGAAAAGTGTTTTTTAGTAAATTTAGTGTAGGCTATAGACAGTGTTTACAAAGTCTATAGTAGTGTACAGTAGTGGTCTAGGCCTTCACATTCCCTCACCATTCACTCACTGACTCACCCAGAGCAACTTCAAGTCCTGCAAGATCCATTTATGGTAAGTGCCCAATATAGGTATACCATTTTTTATCTTTTATACCATATTTTATTGTACCTTTTCTATTTTTATATACGCTTAATACATAAATACTTACCATTGAATTATGATTGTCCACAGTATTCAGTAAGGTAACATGCTGCACAAGTTTGTAGCCTAGGAGCAATAGGCTATATCACATAGCATAAGTGTGTACTAGGCCATACCATCTAAGTTTGTGTAAGTGCACTCTATTATATTCACACAATGACAAAATCACTTAACAATACATTTCTCAGACTATATTCCTCTTGTTAAGCTATGTATGACTGTATTTATTTTGACATCAAATTAGTTTATATCATGCCTTTATTTCATCTTTCATTTCCAATACGGATTTTCATCTGAAAAAGCACTCAGGCCAAGACATATTTCTAAATTTGATGCACTCATATAACATCTTGATTAAATCAAGGTCAAATAATGTGAAGGGGGTCACACTCATTCAGGAACAACCCTCGAGTACAGATGCTTTCTGGGGCTCTTGAAACTCTGAGTTTATAGTCTCAATATTTTATTACCTCATTTAAAGCAGCAATTACTTTTCAATCTTTAGGATGTTCTTAGTCATTAGCAGAGTATGGAAACAAATGATTAACAATATCTTAAAATATGGATAGTAAAATTTTCTTTGTCATAGCGTTTGGGGATGGATACTAAATGATTTAATGGTGTAGAAAGCATATGGGGGTGTTTGACACAGAGGGTTCACTAAGGACTAGTTGGAAAGAGTGTTATTATTGTTTTGCACACTTCCGGCGTGAGATAGCATATAATCAAAGGGCAACATTCACATGTTAGCCCTGAGGAGCTTTGTATGACACCTCACAGGATGACTTTGAAGATGTAATGAAACAGAGAATGTGGAAGCTGTGCTTTATAAACTTATAAATGTAATCTGTTACCATTAAACAACTAATTGACTGGCAGAGTTACTCAGAATGTTGTCACTGAGATGCTATCTTAACTTTTCAACCGAATATTTCTCATCCTGCAGAAAATTGTGATATTCATAAAACACATGTCACCACTAAAAGAAAAGCATATGAGCAAAAAATTAATCTTTCTCAAAATACTGCTTCACTAAACTAGTTGAGGTTGGTATATCAATGTACTTTCTAGCTGAAAAAAAAGGAAAGGTCTTGAAAATGTAAAATAATTTCAGATTTGACTGTCTCTAAGCCTAAATTGGGACATCAACTTTTGTCCTGACTGCAGTCACTCAGAACTAAAAGACATATTTGTAGTTATGTGCAATCAGTGGGTCATGACAACTATCCAAACTCTTATATTAAAGCAAGATGATAATCTCATTGAATAAAAAAATTTTTTTCAAAATGGATGTTAGCTAAAATTTAACATAAAATATCAAATGCCCAAAGGTTGAACTAAATCGTAATGAATAAAAGCCCAAGAATGCAAAATCGAATTCCTGAGCATAGGGAAACTTTGTCATTGTAGGTTAACTCTCTCAATTTATACTTGAGAAAACAGACAATAAAAGTATTTAATTTTCTTGTTCAATTTCAAATCGCTGAGATAGATTTAAATCCAAAAGTCTTCTTGCCTCCCTTGGAGATGATATGATTATTTAACTAACTAGTTGGAGCTGGACAATGCTATCTTGATGATTCTTATGACTCCAGGTTTTCTCCTCCTTTTTCTCCTACCATTGCTACCTCAATATGTTTATTCTTCTTAGCATTTCAGTAATGCCTTGCAGCACTGTTTCTGAAAATGAACCATCCTGTTCCTCAGCCCCAGGCCACATTTACTCTATCAGACACCTAAAGATAGGAAACAATAAATTTCATTCTAGCAACCTTCTCAGCTGATTTTTATGCAACTCAAAGTTTGAAAACTATACGGTCACTTTTACTTTGTATTTAATCCTCACCTCACTCAAGAATGGTAGTTATTGTCAACCTTCTTACACAGAAGAAGAAATTCCATTTCAGAATGGTTGGGTTACTGGATTAAGATATCTGCCTTTAATTTGTAGTGTCCCATAGGAAAATAAGATCACCTGATACCAGATGTTTTATGTTATTCTGACCCCAGGTTACTGCACCCTGTCATCTATAAGTAGACAATCAATGCATCACCATGTTTTGTCGATACCCATAGCTCTACCTTCTTTGGCATATCCCTACTACAGGTGAAACAAATTGAAGATAATGCCACTAACTAATGAAAGCCACCCTGAAGAATTTATTCTGCTAGGCTTTGCAGACCGCCCTTGGCTAGAGCTTCCTCTGTTCACTAGTCTTCTTATAATGTACCCTATAGCCGTGATGGGAAACATCACAATCATTCTCATGTCCAGGTTAGACTCTCGTCTTCATAGCCCCATGTATTTCTTCCTCACCAACCTCTCCTTTTTGGACATGTGTTATACCACAAGCATTGTCCCTCAGATGCTGTTTAACCTGGGAAGCTCTAAGAAGACCATCAGCTATATGGGGTGTGCGGTTCAGCTTTATTTCTTTCACATAATGGGGGGAACAGAATGTTTGCTTTTGGCTATTATGTCCTTTGATCGCTCTGTGGCCATCTGCAGACCTCTTCACTACACCCTCATCATGAATCAGCGCGTCTGTATCCTTAGTTTCCACCGTGTGGCTAATTGGAATAATCTATGCTGTCTCAGAGGCCACTGCCACATTACAATTGCCACTGTGTGGTCTCAATAAACTGGACCACTTGGTGTGTGAGATTCCTGTTCTGATAAAGATTGCCTGTGGTGAAAAGGGTTCTAACGAGCTCACACTCTCTGTGGTATGCATTTTTATGTTAGCTGTCCCACTATGCTTAATTCTTGCTTCCTATGCTAGTATTGGAAGTGCTGTATTTAAGATCAAATCTTCCAAGGGAAGGAAAAAGGCCTTTGGGACATGCTCCTCCCATCTTATTGTAGTTTTCTTATTTTATGGCCCAGCCATCAGCATGTACCTTCAGCCCCCCTCCTCCATCTCAAGGGATCAACCCAAGTTCATGGCCCTCTTCTATGGAGTGGTGACTCCCTCACTCAACCCTTTTATCTACACCCTGCGGAATAAGAATGTAAAGGGGGCATTACGCAACTTGGTGAGGAGCATTTTCAGCTTTAAGTGATAGTGGGTAGACATAAAATGAAGTTATTGAACAGTTAGAGTAGGTTGCTATGGTTTTATCTAACAAATTCTTGTCTCATAATCAAATATCGCTTTACATGTTCTTGCAAAATATGTTATGTCTCCGAGACTCTTTGTAAACATGTTCAGCAAGGATTATACTTGGCTAGTAGGCACATTATATTATGGAAATATATTAAAATAGTTCTATACTGGTTGGTACATACAGAGATAGTAACTGTGTTAAGTAGTAAAAAAATTAGTAAAATGAATTTATTAGTTCAAGCTAATTGTAAAAATAGTATAGCAACCACTCATCAATGAGCCTCCTGTCAGAGTCACCTGAGAAACATTCCATCACTCTCTGCATGTTGTCCCAAGTCTAAATGGGCAGTGTGGCTACACTGGGCATTCAATGTGAAGCACATTATACTTTGGAATAATCATGAGTCTCATAAGCTTATCAACCCCAATTTATGTAGATACTATTGCTTCTTAAAAATTCAGTGTAATTCTTTTTTAACAAATAAGTATGCAGTGATTTTGTATTTTTAATTAAATAATTTATTATTAAATTTTGAAATGAGTGGAATAGTGGGACAAAAAGTATGAAAAAGTTTCTGATACTTTCCTTTTACATACTATAATAATGAGTCTTCGAATCAGTGAGATAACAAGGAAGTGATATTAATAATGAAACACAACCTGGAAGCATTTCCGTGCACAATTTGGAACAGCCAGGAATGCCTTTTGGAACTAACTGTGTTAGAATCAGAATCAGTATGAGAAAAAAATAATTTGCATTTCTGGAACAAAAAGCAACTTGATTACCTCAACAAACAATATGTCTTTTTACTGATGTAAATGTTAAATGCAAATGATGTACAAAACCTGTATCATTAAAAGTTGGAAGTGCTAAAACTTAGTTCTAGGACTCACACCCCAAAACTTAAAACTTTGTCACGAAATTAGTTACAATTTATGAGAGCAAATGAATAGATTTTATATTTACTTGGTGTTGAATTAATATGTTGAGAGTTCAACACGGTGTTGTGTAGTGAAGAAGTAAATACTTGTAAGAAAAACAAAAGGTCATTTGGACTTTTCTGGCATAACTTCTGGTATGATCAAGATCTAAGCCAATAATTGGAAGGAAAACCTCATGTTAGTTCAAACAAGAATCAACTGCAAACCAGATACACTTGCTGAAAAATAACAGATCATCTGGTGCTGATACAGATCCTCAAATCATTGAACTTTTATATATCTAGTTTGGAAAAAAATTTAAGTAACTTTAAAAATTGGCATATTTCTGGTTGATTGCCAGAAAAATGTTTTCAAATTTTATACACATGCACACACAAACACATGACCTAATTCTGTGGTGTTAGACAATAGCTTTGATCATTTTTATTAGTTAAGGTATAGTTTGTCTAACTTAGTCTTATATACAGAAGTATATAGTAATTTCTAGTTTTGAAGGCAAAACACAGAACGATTTTTGTCAAAAGCTTTGCTATAAAAACCCATTACAGTTCATCTGACTCTCTCAAATTATCCTCCGTCCTTGGCTAATGTATATACTACCTTCAAGTCCTGTAAAAAACATTCATTTCAGAGGCATGAGTGAAATCTAGACACAGTGAAAAATCAGGATTTCCTAAGAATTATATGCAAAAATCTCAGAATAAAGAATACTCAGAACAGTGGACTGGAAAACCCACAGAAAGGTTTTATTTGGACTTTGCATTTCCAGGGAATATATACTGCTCAGTATGCTACAGCATGAAGGATACTTCAGTCAACTTTTGAAAAATTCTGTAGAAGAGAAGGGACGCATTATACTTGAAAGAGAAAGCGTGCTCTACCTTTTGTGTAAAGCATGAGCAATTCTGAGATTGCCTTTCAAGGAAAGTGATCTAAAGTTCTTATTTCCCCAAGCAAGTAGGCCTTTCCTAAATAACAAATGGAAGAAAACAAAGCATTTTAACCCTAGATTTAAAGTCACTAAAAATGTATTTGGAAAAATATTTAAGGTAGAACTCAAGAAGGTTTAACAGTGGCTTTCTCCATATTAGAGATGTCCTAAGATCTGCATAGCATAATAACTGCAAGGCAAGAAGTGCTAACATGCACCTTCAAGAATGTGCCTTTGGGATGAGTTCATGTCCTTTGCAGGGACATAGATGAAGCTGGAAACCATCATTCTGAGCAAACTATCACAAGGACAGAAAACCAAACACCACATGTTCTCACTCATAGGTGGGAATTGAACAATGAAAACACTTGGACACAGGGCGAGGAACATCACACACGGGTGCCTGTCATGGGTTGGGGGGCAGGGGGAGGGATAACACTAGGAGAAATACCTAATGTAAATGATGAGTTAATGGGTGCAACAAACCAACATGGCACATGTATACCTATGTAACAAACCTGCACTTTGTGCAAGTGTACCCTAGAACTTAAAGTATAATAAAAATAATAATAATATAGACACAGAAGCAAAAAAAAAAAAAAAAAGAATGTGCCTTTGGAATGAAAAAAGAAGACTAATTAAAGTACTCAAAGAAGAATTAAAAATATTTTCAAAAGGCAAATAAAAATTGTAATATTTAATAGGAGTATATAGTAATACATCACTGGCTGAGGAAATATCATAATCATAATCAAAAAGTCATGTTAAAAAGGAGAACTCACAACTATTGAAAAGCTGCCATGAGCTAGTAAAAGTGTTAAACATATTGTATGTATGGTCTTATTTAATCTTTCAATAACCCTTTAAGGTATGTATTAGCCACATTTGATAGATAATGAAAATGTGGTTCACTAATTCTTGAGCTTGCATAGTGTACGTCAGAACTAGAATTTGAAAGCTTTCAATTACCAAAAATTCATGCTTTTTCCACCTTATAACAAACTACTTGCAAAAATGATGGAAATTTAAAATTATACATTCAAAATCATGAAGAATTCAATGTTTCCATCTGAAATTCCATGGGGCAATATGGGAGACTGAAAGGAGGATCTATGTTGAATGAGAACCAGGAACCAGAACCAAGGCTGATATTAAAGAATGTGTGTTTCTATAGGAGATGAGAACTTGAAGGATTTTAAACCCTGAGACAATGTAAGACCTTTATTTTATGACTACATTTAGCAAAGTAAAAAACCACTTGGAGTACAAAAACATAGGAAATTAGTTAAATGTACTGCAACAATCTTTGCAATAGATAATGAGGCTCTCTAGTAGGATAAGAGAAGTAAAAATGAAAAAGATGGGGGAAGTGTGAGAGATTAACATAGGAGGTTAACTTGGAAATTTTGTTAAATGTGTGTCCTCTGGGAAAGAGATGAGCCAAAGACAGTGGTGATGATGTTTTAAGTCTGCAGGATTGAGCAGAAGGTGTAGATTATTTCAACGACTTTAATATCAAGGAAAGTAGTTTTTGAAACAGAAGTTAAAAGGACTCTAGAAAAACTGAAGTCAAATTCCGCGGAAGATGTTACTAATTATCTACAAGAAGAAATAGACATCAGTTGGCCGGGAGCAGTGGCCCACGCCTATAATCCCAGAATTTTTGGAGGCCAAAATGAGCAGACCACCTGAGGTCAGGAGTTCAAGACCAGCTTGGCCAACATGGTGAAACCCCATCTCTACTAAAATTATAAAAATTAGCCAGGTGTGTTGGCATGTGCCTGTGGTCCCAGCTACTTGAGAGGCTAAGGCACAAGAATGGTTTCAACCTGGGAGGCACAGGTTAAAGTGAGTGGAGATTGTGCCACTGCACTCCAGCCTGGGCAACAGAGTGAGACTCCCATCTCAAAAAAAAAAAAAAAAAAAAAAGACATTACTTGCAAAAAGAGAATTAATTGTTATCAAAAATTTTATTTATAAAGGATAAATCTAAATGAAATTTTAGCATTTCTTTTTTGGAGACATTAAAGATATCCAACAATTTAACATGATGTTATATTAAGATAAAGGGTTTATGCATACCATACTTAGTATGATATATAATATACATTTTAACAAGAATTAATATTGGGAAGTGGACAACAGTAGTTTCTGCAGACACTTCTAAGTCTTAGAGTCTGTAATCCCCTTTCCCCAGAAAAACTCTTCAAAGTAAAATAATAGTATTTATAAGAAACACTGATAAGTGTCCAACTTAAGGTTGTTTTAATATATGTGATATGTGATATGCTGTCTGCATTAGGATAGTGAGGAGGCAGGGCTCAGTGGGCAATAGAGAGGATTCAAATGTTTTTGCAGAGAAACTGCTTTAAAATTTGCTTCTGGAATTTCTCCCCTTGCTATGATTCCAATATCCTTCCACTGAGCAAACAGTAGAGTTAACTGCACCATGGGGACATCATCTTCTTCTATCTCAGGGGATTCATTATCTCAGATCTCAAATTCTTAAGTGCAGCAAATCCTCTAATCATTTCTTTCTTGAATCCATAGAAGCTATTTTGCTAGAAAGAGTACCAACTAATGACTGAATCTGAATTCACTATGTGACTCTTAGGCAAATGGGCACATCTGACAAGTCACATTATAAGGCTATTAATAAGTAATTTTGACTGGTCATCTATGTACATCAATAGCTTTGTTAGTATATAGGTATTATGTGGCTTTTCTATATGAACTAAGGAATATGTTAACATAAATTATTTTCTGATTAATACGTTCAATTTGCATGAGCACAATTCTTAGTATGAACATTATATCATATTATAATTAAGACTGTATTTTAAAATTCATAATTGGCAAGAAATGGCCAGGTTGTCTTTTCTATTTGAGAAAACTATCTGAAAAAAATGTCTTTAGATTTTTAAATGACAGTCGGTATACCAAGTACTTTAACAAACATCTCACTTGAAACAAAGATTTTATGGCTGAAGGAAAAAATTTGAGATGCATTCCTTTTAAAATATTTATAATAAAGGACTGACACATGGTCTATTGTCTGTGAAACTCCTGTGAATAGTTCTATCTATGCATTTAACTATGCCTTTAACATAAAGTTGCTACTAAATTATTCATTGTTTTAATTACTATCTAAAAAATCTGAAAATGGAACATGATAAAATGCTTTTGAACTCATTATTTGGCTGTAGTCAATTGTCAGCTATTATTAGCAGTAATTTATAACCTGATTTTTTATGATCCTATTCCAAAATGGTTCTATTGGTGAAAATGGCATAAACTTTTGTTCTATCGCTTTTGTTTTGCATTAACTGTGAAAATTAAACATCAAATATTGTCTTCTCTTTTCCACTGTCCTTCTGCCTAAAATATGTTTTCCTTTCTTTCTGGCTAAAATGTTGCAGGACCATTTTATTTTACTTTATTTAGTTCCATTTTCCTTTTAGTTCACATATAATTGTACATGCTTATGAGATATGATGTTTTGATATAGATATACAATGTATAGAGACCAAATTAGGGTAATTAGCATATTCATCTCCTTGAACATTTATCAATTCTTTGTGACGAGATCATTCAAAATCCTCTTTTCTACCTATTTTGAAATATACGGTATATTATTGTTAACAACAGTCACGCTATGGTACAGTGAAACACTACAACTTATTCATGCTAACTCTAACTTTGTACCTATTGATCATACTCTCCTCATTCCCCTCTTCACCCTACCCTATCCAGCTCCTCTAGTAACCACTCTTCTACTCTCTACTTCCATGAGATCAACTTTTTTAGGTAATAGGACCATTTTAAATAGGCATATTATACTTTGCTACTATTAACCTAGAAGCCGGAGTAGAGACTTTATCTTTTAGTAGTGTAATGAAGTCATGAATAAAAATTCAGTATAGTTCATTGCACTAGTTGATTTAGAAAGTTCTGGGATGTATTTTGGCTAAGGGGAAAACTGAAGTACCACTTGATCCCAATACATCTCTCAATTTTCCCCATGATTCACATTCAATTACTCCTGATATGAGATCACTTTCCCTGCCTCAGGGCTTATTACTAACCTGTGCTGTTGCTGATACCAAGACACTCAGAGAGTTGCATTCTCCCTCATCCCCTGAAGAGTTTCCATTTACGTGATCTGTAAGTGTCTGTGTGTGAAGGGGTTGAGGAAGCGGTGTTAACCTTCGCCAGGGAGATCCCCCTGTCAGCTAACACCTTTATGGGGGGCATTCAGTCTCTTGTAGCTAGGATCCCAGAGGTCCATGACAAGAGTGAGCATTCCCTCAGTTCCCTCATTCGCCAATTTCCCAGAAGCCATCCCAACAGCAGGGTCCCCAGCTTTCTGTCTCTACAGCCTCAGCTTTAGCTTTGCCTCTTCACGCTCAGCATTTTCTTTCCTAAGATCTGTCCAATTTATGTTGATTTACTCGATAATTTGGTCTCTCTCAGTGAAAGCGGTGCTTCCTGGCTGCATCTAGTTGGACATCTTGTTCCTTCCCATCTGTGTAATACATTTTTCATACATGCTTTATTTTGACATAATTTTAGCTTTACAGAAAAGTTGCAAAGATGGCATGGAGAATTCCCAAATACCCCTTACCCAGTTTCACTTTCCCTTAATGTTACATTTCTCTGGTTTATTTTTCAAAATTAGGAAACTAACATTGGTATGTTACTATCACTGAAACTCCAGACTATCTTTGGATTTCAGCAGGATTTTCTTTAATGTTCTTTTTTTGTTGCAAAATTCAATCCAGAACACCCCATTGCATTTAGTTGTCATGTTTCAGTTTCCTGAATCTGTTTCCTTGTTTTTCTTGATATTGATAATTTTGAGTACTGCTCAGGTATGTTATAAAATGCACTTCAATCATGGTTTGTCCGATGTTTTCTCATGATTATGTTATGGGATCCTTGGGGTATCACTTCACCAGCGAAAACCTCTGTCCCTAGTGGCACCTATGCCCAAGTTTTCCTCAGGCCCACTGGCCCACTCAGCCTAGCAGGCTGTGCTCAGCTCACAATACCAGCCTGGATCCCATACCTGCCAAGGGCAAGCAGAGCAGCGAGGCGTGTATGAGCGAGAAAGTGTGGGGTCCACCTACTGCACACAGCCAGGCATGCTTGCTGTGGCAGGGCAGGCAGTTCCAGGCACCAACACAGGCACCAGCTCCCTGCAAGGCTGCAGCTGGAGCAGGTGTACTGCAAGCAGCTTCCATGGCTGATGCTGCAGAATGCAGTGGTGCCCAGAAGCTAAGAGACACCAGGAACCACAGAGCCAAAGAGGCTGTCACAGCCCTGACTCAGGGAGCTCTTAGGTCTGGGCTCCCCGAAGGGCAGCAGTTCTTCACTCCTTTTTGTCGCCTGCAATGTGGTGAGTGAGGAAAGGGTATGTTTTAGCCCTGTTTGTGTGACTGCTCTTTCAGCCATGCCATTCGGTGGGTCCCAAGTTCTTGTCCTGCACCCAGGAAGAATGAGATATGCAGAAAGTGGAGGGTGAGTTAGGTGAAAAGGAGCTTTTCTGAGCAACAGAACAGCTCAGAGGAGACACATAGAGGGTAGCTCCTCTCCACAGCCAGGGTGTCCTGACCAGTGTTCAACTCTCAGCAGAGAGGAGACCCTGAGGTGGATAGCTCCTTTCACAGCTGGCCGTACCATTGCCTTTTCAGCTCTCAGCAGAGAGGAGACCCTAGGGTGGGTACCTCCTCTCTGCAGCTGGTTGTCTTGTCATCTTTTTCAATCTGGCTGAGTCCGGGAGTTTTTATGGGCTTCAGAGTAGAGGAAGTAGGTGCTGATTGGCCCTTGGGCAACCATGTGCAGGCCCAGAAAAAGCATCATAAATTCCCACTCCAGTCTGCGAGGCTGGCAGCCCGGCTCTCAGGCTTCAAGCCTTCCCTGGGTTGAAGGTGGGGCCTCACTGGGGACCCATCCCTCTCTGTCCAGGAGCCTGTCTGCCTCCTGCCACTGTTCATGGCACCCAGGCTGTTCCTGCCGAGGGTCACCTGCAGGCCAGGGCCAAGCTGCCTTCAGCACCTCCCCAGCCTCCCTTCCTTGCTTACTGGTGCCCAAAGTCCAGAGCGGGGCTCAGGCAGCAGGATGCTGGTGTGTCAGCAATGCCCCAAGCATGCACACACCAGGCCAGGTTGCAAAAGCCCCAGGGCTCAGCCTCAACTCCGCTCCGAGATCAGAGCTGGTGCCAGGAGCAGGCAGAGGCCAGGCAGCAGGAGCAGGCACCTCCGAGTCTGCACGGGGGCAAGGGTTCTTTCCCGGGTCCCCAAAAGTGTGGAGATGCCCAGATCCACAGCCACAGCTTGCGCACCTGCAACTGCACCCAGAAGGGCAGGGCTCCTGGCACCCAAGAGAACAGGGATGCCCAGGTTTGTAGCCACATCTTGAGCAGCTGCAGCTGCACCCGGGAGGGTGAGGTTTCTGCCTGCTCCCGGACCCCAAGAGCACAGGGATACCCGGGTCTGCAGCCACAGCTGGGCAGCTGCAACTGAGCCTGGGGAGCACAAGGCACCTGCCTGCCAACTCATAAGGGGTGGGGGCTTTTGCCTGTTCCCAGCTCCTTCGGGCTCCATCGAGTGCACAGCCCCACCCGCACCTCTCCCACTGCAGCCAACGTCATGGCAGCAGCCACTGCACACAGGCCACAGCTGCCATCAATTACACTGGGCCTTTGAATTTTTGAAGAGGTGACCACAGAGGTAAAGTGCCCTTTTTATCCCATCAGAGCAGGGGTTACATAATATCTACATGGCATTACTGATGGTGCTGACTTTAATCACTTGCTTAAGGTAGTGTTTGCACTAAATAAAACTTAAACTTACAATTGTTACCTTTCCATACTCTATTCCTTGGAAGACAGTCACTGAATCCAGCCTATACTTAATGAAGGAGATCACGAGCTCCACCCCCAAAAGTGGAGACTATTAATAGATCAGTAAGGAAGATTTCTCTCTTCTTCTCCATTTATGTATTTATTCAATCATTTAACAGTATGGACTCATACTTTTTATACTTCAGATTATAATCCAGTGATATGTTATTTATTTTGTTGTTGAAATTGTTCCAGCTTTCCCCATTGAGAGCTCTTTCATGCTGGCTGCTGGGTCTTGGACAGGTCTTCATCCTTTTGCTATCCTTTTCTCTTCAAGGCCCCTCCTTGATTTCTGGTATTACTGGTCCTTCTCCTCCAGGCTTATCTTATATATTTTTTCACCAGCCTTAGAAATATCTTAGAATCAGACATTTCCCCAAGGATCTCTGGTTCTTTTCACTGGACATGGCAGACATGCACACACTGCTGTGAGGGTAACTTTGTTTCTAGATTATTTCAGCAGAAAGGGCTAGGTAATGTGTGTTCACACAGTAAGCCCTGAATACACACATATCTGTCATTGCTTCTATATTTGTCCATCTATGTGTGTGTCCGTGTGTATTCGTGCTTGTGTTTAAACATGATGTCACAGTGTAACTCTGACTCTAGCACAGTCCCTCATGATCATTCTGGCCTTCCTTTCTTGTTTACCTATAACTTCTCATACCAACAGTGAGAAACCTGGATGCCACTGTTCATCTTTTAACATTTTTGTTCAACACTAGTATGCTTGTGAAGCAATTACAAAATTAGCTGTACCCACATGAGAAAAAAATTACCATTTAGAATACAGTACTTATGCACAGTTACTTTTCTCTTTAGCCTGACATTTTTTAATCAAAATATTATTTCTCAAAATAACCAAAGTCAGTATTTACTTCTTCTCTACCCTTTTCAGGGTCGTTAGCTTACACATTTATATAACGTGAGATTGATTTGTCACTGTCTGCATACCATTCTAGGATCTTCCTGCATCTTGGTGAAACTTTTGCTTGTTTATTTGCATGCATTTGAGTGCAATTTTGTGATACACTTCTTGGGGATTAATAAATCATAGACTTGCATATTACTAGTGCAGCACCATACAAGACAACTCTATCATTTAAAATGTCCCCTGCGTGTATTCTTTGTAATCAACTAATCTCCCCTACACTAAGCCCTGGATAACACTGGTGTGTTTCCATCCCAACAGGTTTTCTTTTTCCAGATGTCTTATGAATGAACTCATACAATATTCAGACTTTGAAGTCTGGCTTCATTCATTTAGTGAAATACACTTAACAAATATTCATGTTGTTGCATGTATCAGTAGCTCATTCCATCCCTTTGATCAATAGTATTCATTCATCAATCAATTTCCACAAAATCATAGATCATTGTATGGAAATACCCAAGATTATTTTTCCCCTATTGAAGGGCATGGGTTGCTTACAGTTTTGAGTAATTATGAATAACACTGATATAAATACTTGCATGCAAATTTTTACATGGACATAAGATTTAATTCACTGGTGTAAATACTTAGGAATGTGATTGTTAAGTCATATGGCAAGACTATATTAAACTTTATAAAAATTGCCAAATGGTCAAATTAGTTGCACCACTTTGCATTTCTTCCAGCAATCAAAGAGAGTTTCCCTCACTTTGCATTCTTGCTAGCATAAATTTTCAGTGCTTTTGTTTTAGTGACAAAGGAATTTGTGAGAATTTATTTTCAATCTTGTTACATGAGTACTTTCATAATACTTCAATTTTGTATCTCAATTTACAAAGCCTTAATATTGACTATGAAGATTTTTATAGGAAAAAATACTGGCATCTGGACTTTCATATAGATTTTCTTAAATCAGTGAGATTTTCTTCAGTCAACTTAATTGTAAATCAATTATTACAAGCTTTTTTAAATATGGGAAATCATGTCTTTGATAAGAACAGGTCAGTTTTTTCATTTTTTCTCTAAGAATTTTGTTTTTTTTTTCTGTATCTATCACTTAATGTGTATTTGAAAACTTTCTAATTAACTTTTTCTAATACATATAATCCATGAAACTATTCCATTTTCTCAATACAGTTTAGAAATTACTTAAACATTTGGCTAAATGTTCTGAACCTTACTTACTTTCAAGCTACATTTTCGTGCTAGAAAAATGCTTAATTCATGCTGAATATGTTCAGTGTGATTTTTAAAGGCTTCACGATTCAATGTTTTTCATATAACCTAATTTATATTTTATTTCTCTGTCCGTGAAGAGTCTTTTAAGAGGCCAGGCACGGTGGCTTATGCCTGTAATCCCAGCACTTTGGGAGGCCAAATTGGGAGGATTACTTGAGGTCAGGAATTCGAGACCAGCCTTGGCAACATGGTGAAACCCTGTCTCTACTAAAAATACAAAAGTTAGCCAGAAGTGGTGGTGCATGCCTGTAATCCCAGCTACTCAGGATGCTGAGGTAGGAGAACCACTTGAAACCGGGAGATGGGGGTTGCAGTAGTCGAGATGGCACCACTGCACTCCATCCTGGGCAACAGAGCAAGACTCCGTCTCAAAAAAGAAAAAAAAAAGCGTTTTAAGAAGCATAAACAAATTTCCTCCAACCCCCTTTGACTGAACATTGATCGATACTCATTCTGATTTGATCTAGTTCTAAGTCCCAACATCCATTTTATCTTCTCCAAGTATAGTAGTGAATATTCATCAATTGTTCACTCAAATATTTGGTTTGATTTCTTATCATTTAGCACTTAATCCAAGGATATAAATATCTTTTTGCCCAGTGGTAAACTTGTCATCCAATCCTTAGGCTTATTTTGCAAACAGGTTAGGTTTTCCTCAAGATTGAAATGCTCATCCAAACCCTATTTTATTGCTGTCTTAAGTGGGGTTTTTCTCTTTTGACATAGTTTTAAGGTCATTTTGGCATCAGGTTCTCACTATTTAAAAGACTTCATTCAACACATCTTCCAGTGACTCAACCCATATTCTAAACCTAGCCATGAATGTAATACATTCTGAAGTTTTTTGTTTTGTTTTGTTTTGTTTTGTTTTCTTAGACGGAGTCTCGCTCTGTCACCCAGGCTGGAGTGCAGTGATGCAATCTCGGCTCACTGCAACCTCTGCCTCCCAGGTTCAAGCGATTCTCCTGCCTCAGCCTGCCGAGTAGCTGGGACTACAGGCACCCCCCACCACGCCCGGCTAATTTTTTCTATTTTTAGTAGAGACGGGGTTTCACCGTGTTAGCCAGGATGGTCTTGAACTCCTGACCTTGTGATCCACCTGTCTCGGCCTCCCAAAGTGCTGGGATTACAAACATGAGCCACTGCACCTGGCCCCATTCTGAACTTTAAGATGTTCTTTTTTTTTCCAAAGATCACATATAAATGGCCAATAAACATATGAACAAATGTTAATCATAAGAGAATTGCAAGTTAAAACCACAATGAGATATTACCTTATGCCATTCAAAATGGCCATGATTAAAAAAATCAAGACAAAAAAAAAAAAAACAAATTTTGCCAAGGGTATAGAGAAAAAAAGAATACATACACTGTTGGTGGG
This sequence comes from Homo sapiens, assembly GCF_000001405.40. Classification (NCBI taxonomy): domain Eukaryota; kingdom Metazoa; phylum Chordata; class Mammalia; order Primates; family Hominidae; genus Homo; species Homo sapiens. The sequence goes on along the minus strand of NT_167248.2, from coordinate 391,085 downwards.
AATGTAAATTAGTACAAGCCCTGTGGAAAACAGTATGGAGACTTTTCAAAGAACTAAAAATGGAACTACCATTTGACCCAGCAATCCCATTATTGGATATCAACCTAAAGGTAAATCATTATATCAGAAAGAAACCTGCATGTCTATGTATATCGCAGCACTATTCACAATAGCAAAGTAATAGAATCAACCTGAGTGTCCATCAATGGACTATTGGATTTCTAAAATGTGATACTACTTCCCCATAAAAAGACTGAAGTCATGTCTTTTATAACAACTTGGATGGAACTGGAGGCCATTGGCTTAAGTGAAATAACTCAAAAACAGAAAGCCAAATGCTAGATATTATCAATTATAAGTGGGAGCTAAACAATGGGTACATGTGGATACAGAATGAAATAATGACATTGGAGACTCCAAAAGGTGGGAAGTTGGGAAAGGGTTGAGGGATGAAAGACTACCTATTGAGGACAATGTATCCTATTTGGATGATGGATACACTGAAATCTCAGACTTCACTATGTAAATATATCCATGGAACACAACTGCACTTCTATACCCTAAATCTGTTAAAATTTGCATTTTTCAAAAACATTTTCTTTATTTTTTTCAAAGCATCTATTTTGAACTCAAATTTCCTATACACTTAGAGGATTTGATGCCTTGTTCTCAGGGCAGGACTCCATGAAAAATAATTTACCTTTTCATACACTTTTTTTTTTTTTTCAAGAGGCAAAGTTTTGCTCTTGTTGCCCAGGCTGGAGTGCAATTGCACTATCTCGGCTCACTGCAACTTCTGCCTCCAAGTTCAAGCGATTCTCCTGCCTCACCTCCCAAGTAGCTGGGATTACAGGAACACACCCCCAAGCCCGGCTAATTTTTTGTATTTTTAGTAAAGATGGGGTTTCACCGTGTTGGCCAGGCTGGTCTCAAACTCCTGACCTCAGGTGATCCACCCGCCTCTGCCTCCCAAAGTTCTGGGATTACAGGCATGAGCCAGCACGCCAAACTCATATTCTTTTTTAATCAGCCTAATTTATTAAAACATTACATTTGTCTTCAACTACAGAAGAAACTTCTCTGGTAAACTCTTTTTTTTCTCTCTACATAAAGTGGGCTTTTATAATTACAAAATCCAAATAGAGCCGCACTTACCACCATCCCCCATGTTAAGCCATAGAACTCTGATGTGAGTCTCATGTCTCCTTGCAACATTGACGTGGCCTCAATCAGCTTCTCCAGGACCTCTATAAAGTAACACCTCATAGCAGTAAGCAGGTCCTCCATAGCACCAGATCTGCCTTTGGTTGCCAAGACACTATGATTCTACAACAAACTGCAGAGAACACTAGCAGTGTTCTGCTTGGAACCTAAATCTGCACCTAGCAACCAGGACAGCACATCAGTGGGATGCCAATGTGGGAGGATAGATGGGGCTTTCTAAACATTTTCACTATTAGCACATGAAAAATGGGAAACTACAAGGCTCTTGTTGATCCAGGAAGACTGGCCACAGAGACTGTATTCCTTCTAGGCACTGACAAGCAACCCTAAAGTATGAGAGAATTAATGTCATTTCATACATGTGCAATTCAGGAATTACTAGGAACGTGGCAGTAAAGAACTTACATGCCCATATCAATAGTCAAAGTCCTCTTAATGTAAACGTGTCTTTCTGAGGTTCTGCTAGACCTAATACTATTTAAAAATTCAAAGGTTCCTCACCTCAGTATCCAATCTTGTTTTGTTTTGGGTTAGATGAGGGGGATAAGCATGAGAGAGTTGAATTATTGTCATTAAGTTATCGATTTAACTTTCAAATGTAAAAACTCATGAAGGTTGAAGGTAATTTGGGGTTTAGGTTTTTTTAACTTTTATTTTAGGTTCATGGGTATATGTGCAGGTTTGTTATACAGGTAAACTGCGCATCACAGGGGTTTGGAGTACAGATAATTTCATCATCCAGGTAATAAGCATAGTACTCAATAGGTATTTTTTCTGATCTTCTTCCTCCTCCCACCCTCCACCGTCAAGTAGACCCCAGTGCATGTGGTTCACCTTCTAGTATCCATGTGTTCTTATGTTTAGCTCCCACTTATAAGTGAGAACATGTGGTATTTGGCTCTTTTCCATTTAGTTTGCTTAGGATGATGGCCTGCAGCTCCATCCATGGTGCTGCAAAGGAAATGACCTCATTCTTTTTATGACTGCATAGTATTCCATGGGGTCTATGTACCACATTTTCTTTACCCAATCTACTGTTGATGGGCATTTAGGTTGATTTCATGTATTTGCTGTTGTGAACAGTGCTGCAATGAACATACTCGTGCATATGTCTTTATGGTAGAATGATTTATATTCCTTTGGGTATATACCCGCTAATGGGATTGCTTGGTGGAAGAGTAGTTCTGTTTTAAGTTCTTGGAGGAATCATTACACCATTTTCCACAATAGCTAAGGTAATTTACATTCCCACCAGCAGTGTATAAGCATTCCCTTTTCTCCATAGCCTTGATGTATCTGTTATTAATAATTTGACTTTTTGATAATAGCCATTCCACCTGGTACGAGATGGTATCTCATTGCGGTTTTGATTTGCATTTCTCTAATGATTAATGATATTGAGCATTTTTTCATATGCTTGGCCGCATGTGTATCTTCTTTTGGAAAGTGTCTGTTTATGTCTTTTGCTGACTTTTAAACGGCATTGTTTCTTTCTTATAAATTTGTTTAAGTTCTTTCTAGATGCCAGATATTAGACCTTTGTCAAATGCATTGTATGCAGATATTTTCTCTCATTTTGTAGACTGTCTGTTTCCACTGTTGATAGTTTCTTTTACTGTGAGAAGTTCTTTAGTTTAAATAGGCCTCATTTGTCAATTTTTGTTTTTGTTGCAATTGCTTTTGGCATCTTCGGCATGAAATCTTGGCCAAGTCCTATGTCCAGAATGATATTTCCTAGGTTATCTTCAGAGTTTTTATATTAACAGTTTTCATTTTTACATTTAAGTCTTTAATTCATCTTGAGTTGATTTTTGTATGTGGTGCAAGTTTGGCATCCAGTCTCAATCTTCTGCATGGAGCTAGTCACTTATCTCAGCACCCTTTATAAAATGGGGAGTCCTTTCCCCATTGCTTGTTTTTGTCAGCTTTGTTGAAGATCAGATATTTGTAGATGTGTGGCATTATTTCTGGGTTCTCTATTCTATTCCATTGGTGTATATATCTGTTTTTGTACCGGTATCATGCTGTTCTGGATACTGTAGCCCTCTGGTATCATTTGAGTAAGGTGATGCCTCTAACTTTGTTCTTTTTTCTTAGGATTGCCTTGGCTATTAGGGCTCTTTTTTAATTCCATACAAATTCTAAAATAGTTTTTTTCTAATGCTGTGAACAATGTCATTGGTAGTTTGATAGCAAATTGCATTGAATCTATAAATTGCTTTGGACGGTATGGTCATTGTAATGATACTGATTCTTAGTATCCATCAGCATGGGATGTTTTTTCCATTTCCTTGTGTCACTTCTGATTTCTTTTAGCAGTGTTTTGTAATTGTCATTGTAGAGATGTTTTACCTTTTAGGTTAGCAGTATTTCTAGGTATTTTATTCTTTTTGTGGCAGTTGTGAATGGGATTGCATTCCTGATTTAGGCCTCAGCTTAGATGTTGTTGATGTATGGGAATGCTAAATTTTTGTACATTTATTTTATATCCTGAAACTTATCTAAAGTTGTTTATCAGATCAAGGAGCTTTTGGACCAAGATTATGGGGTTTTCTTTATACAGAATCATGTCTTTTGCTACCAAGAATAGTTTAACTTCTTCTCTTTCTATTTGGATGCCTTTCATTTCTTTCTCTTGCCTGATTGCTCTGGCCAGGACTTCCAGTACTATGTTGAATAGGAGTGGTGAGAGAGGGCATCCATGTCTTGTGCCAGTTTTCAAGGGGAATGCTTCCAGCTTTTGCCCATTCAGTATGATGTTGGCTGTGGGTTTTTTACAGATTGCTCTTATTGTTTTGAAGTATGTTCCTTCAATGCCTAGTTAATTGAGGGTTTTTAACATGAAGGGATGTTGAATTTTATTGAAAGCCTTTTCTGCGTGTATTGAGATAATCATGTGGTTTTTGTTTTCATTTCTGTTTATGTGATGAATCACATGTATTGATTTGCATATGTTGAACCAACCTTTCCTATCAGGGATAAAGCCTACTTGATCATCGTGGGCTTTATCCCTGGGACACAAGGGATCATGGTAGGCTTTTTCCCTGGGATGCAAATGATCACACCCTAATCTGTGGAGCCTGTGATTATACGTTACTTTACATGGCAAAAGGACTTTATAGATGTGATGAAATTCAGAATCTTGAGATGGGGATATTATCCTGGATTAGGCAAGTGAGCTGACACAATCACACGTGTCCATATAAGAGGGAGGCCAGAAGTCAAAGGGAAGATACTCCACTGCTGACTTTAAATATAGAGGAATGGGCCATGAGCCAAGGAATGTAGGTTACCTCTAGACGATAGAAAAGGTGAGGAAACAGCTATTTCATCAAAAAGCTAAGAAATTAGGTTTTTATGTGCTGTTCGATTTGGTTTGCTAGTATTTTGTTGAGGAGAATCAAGATAATTTGAAAGATTTTCAAATTTCAAGGATTTACACTCCTGCCAAATGACTCCCCAAACCCATAGCCAGTCACTGTTCTTCACCATTGCCTCACTCTCAAGCACAATACAAAAACTTTCCATTTCCTGAGTGGGTAAAGAAATGTGATGTTATAACTAAATAAATATTTGTCAACAATATTACCATGCCTTGGTGTTATCTATTCCATGCATTTCTAGTGAATTGTTCATTAGGAAACCCCAGTACTTTATTCAAAGTTTTTGTCATTTGACCTAAGATAAACAAAGTTATCTATTCCTCCCAAAGAAAAGTGTCAGATATGTTAAGATCGTCTCAGTTTGCCAACAGTAAGAAATTCTTTTTTTTTTTTTTGAGACGGAGTCTCGCTCTGTTGCCCAGGCTGGAGTGCAGTGGCACCAAGCTCCGCCTCCCGGGTTCACACCATTCTCCTGCCTTAGCCTCCCGAGTAGCTGGGACTACAGGCGCCCGCCAACACGCCCAGCTAATTTTTTTGTATTTTTAATAGAGATGGGGTTTCACCGTGTTAGCCAGGATGGTGTGGACCTCCTGACCTTGTGATCTGCCCATCTTGGCCTTAAGAAGTATGGAGACATATAAAAAAGATATATGAGCCAACTGGAAGGGGTCCTCTCTAGCCAAAACAGTGACCATTTCAGCATCAAAATAATGACAGAATGAAATAATAATGCATAAGACCATATTATGATATATAGGTAGACACATAGATAAATAATACCTGATACCCACACGTACACACACACACACACACAGGAAAAAGGAAAGCTATTCCTTCATATAGAATGCCAACTCTATTAGTTTTCCATTGTTGCTATAACAAATTACTACAAATTTGGTGTTTAAAATAACAAAAATATCATGTATCTGGAGATAGGAATACTAAATTGGGTCTACAGGGCTGCATTTCTTCTGTAGGCTTTCAGAGAGAATCTGTTTTCTCAACAACTCCAGCTTCTAGAAGCAACCTGTTTTCCTTGGCTCATGGCCCATTCCTGTTTCTTTAAAGTCAGCAGCAGACTATCTTCTCTCTGACCTCTGGCCTCCCTCTTATATGAACACATATGACTATGTCAGCCCACCTGGCTAATTCAGGATAATAATCCCAACTCAAGGTTCTGAATTTAATCACATCTATAAAAATCCTTTTGCCATGTAAAGTAACATATAATAACAAGTCCCAGAGGTTAGGGTGTGATCATTTGCGACAAGGAGAGGAAGTATTTAGCCTACCACACAAACTAATAAGTTTAGAAGGAATGATGGAACTTTAAGAATCATTATTTGGAAACCACTATAGTAATAATAGTAAAAATTAGTAATAATGGTAATAAAAAATAACGACTGGCCTACATATGGCAGATACTGCCCAGTGGTCTAGGAGAATGACATTGTCGCTGATGTTCTTCATGCACCAATGGCCTGTTAAAGGTACAGTGGCCCAAAACACTTCTCAGCCATTGGTTGAGCCTTGAGGAATTTACAACCTTATGTGAATAAGCATAATTGCTGCAAATATGAAATGTTTGGTTGAGGTATAAGTGACACATTTTAACCTTGAAGGAAAAGTTCTTGTGAACATCCTCAGGACAGTAAGAGAGTAAGATAAATTCAGTGTGGTTCAAATATTAGGTGTTAAAACAAAGAATAGGAGAAAATGAAGACCTTCCCATGACAAGTTGCAAAGAGCCAAGAAATGTACATACTGAATCCTCACCTTCTTGTTTTAAAGAGTTCAGATGTCTATAGGGAGGAACAATTGCCTAGTGATTAAGAACAAACTGTGAAGTTAGAAAGCCCACATTTGAATCCAAGCTTCATCACTTACTAGCTCTGTTGTGGTCAGTTTTCTCATGCAGACAATAGAGACTATGATATTACTGTTGCCTCCCAATAGTTATCCCATCTCACCTACACTGTGTAGCATGTGCTTTGGATGAAATTAACCCCACCCCCAGTGCAGGAGCAAGAGTGACTTTATTTTAAATGCTAATCTGCCGTGTAACTTCTGAATAACCCTGAGTCCCTATAAGATGTTAAGTTGATATATTACTCTTTATGTAGGAACATGTATTCACTGTAAGTTTCCTCCAAAACAACCCTTGACGCTGTTGTAGGAAGCATAGTCCATGGCACCTGTAGCTACCTACATGTTTCTTTCAGAGCAAGTATACTTTCCTCAAAAGATAAGCCCTAGATCTGGAGGACTGCAGTGCAAAATCTAACTATGTTGTGGCCACCCAAGACAACATATATGTCTGTAAATTCCTTTAGTAAATCACCCCAAACCAACAAGCTAGATTTGTCTGCCTCCTTCTTTGATTTATCTGCTCTTTGTGCATTTGAGAGATGGCTTTGCATATATGGCCCTTTCACTGAAAACCTGGCTTCAGAAGTGGCCCCCAATTAATCTCAGCCAATCATTGCATTTTCGCCCCTTGTCCCAAACATGTTGCCAGGAATGTGCAGACAACTTATGCGTCAGTATGAAGCTCTGTATAAAGAGCCATTTTTGTTCATTGATTATAGGATGATATTCAACCTCTTGAATGTGAACAAGGAAGCATATAGGCCTGATTATTGCTGACAATGTTTCGTGATTGTGAGGGGAATCAACTTGATGACAAATCCAATACATGGAAGAGGACATAGCTGAGGAAACTGCAGAGATATTGATCCAGAGCACTGATCAAGCTATACCTGAAGCCCACACTACTGCTGAACTTTTTGGTTTTATAAGCAATAAATCCCCCTTATTTGTTAAAAACAATTATTTTGTTAAAGTAAATGGCCGGCCTGCACTCTTCAAAACTATAAGGTGCATTGAAGAGACAGACAGACTGAGGAATGGTTCCCAATTAAAGAGAAAAAAGAGACATCACACTGCCACCTTATGATCCTGGATTAGATACTTTTTTAGGAAATATTCTTGTGACAACCTAGGGGAACATGTGCATTACAGCGTAATAGTTTAGAAAAAAAATTTAAATGCATATTAACATTAGTATAAAGTGAGAATGATAAACCATACATGTTGAAATGCTAAGATTTTTTAAATCTGGTGAAGCTCAATGGTAAGTCTTTCTACTATTTTTATAACTTTTCCATGAGTTTTTTTGTGATTGTTGGATGATACTTGGTATATAATCACTTGTATTTGAAACTTATGTTTGAAATCATGTAGTGTTTTCATAATATATGATCACTAATCACCTTTCCAGCCTCACATATGTAAAATAGGAGATATGAACCTGAGCTACATAGCAGAATACAGACGGAGTGTACCTAGGCTGGAAGCCAGAGCTACTTTCTGTGATTACCTGGATGACATATTTGTGCCAACAATTCTGTACTGCAGAGTTAAAATAAGAAAAGATAATTGAGTATGTATATAAGAATATGCTGCACAGCAACAAGTATAAGATACAGTGGACAAAGACTGGGAGACATCTGTCTGAATGGGGAGGAGAAATTTACAGGGCAAAAGAAGCTGATGCTTCCATGAGGTTAGCCTTCATTCCTATCTGGGAAAAAGCTGGCTTCACTGTTAGTTCTTCAGTAAAGTTGCTTGCCATACAAATTCATGTGTGCTTTGGAAATCCCAGTTCACAAATGTTTTCATAAGGTTTAGGGCTGACAAGGGGAGCATCTCAGGGCTTCTATTTTGCCTTCAGTGTTGTTGACATAGGAATGGGTTGTCAGAGCTAAAAATGTATTGTCCTTACCCTGATTTTTTCACATACAAGTTGCCAGAAGTTATACAAGCCACCTATTTTCTTCCCTTCAGTTTGATAAAGTGAGAAAACTCATTCCTGTTGTCCTATCTGTGATAATACTGCATAAAGTCTGTTCGACTGGTTTGAAAAGTACAAAACAATAAAAACAGTAATACCAGTGTTAATCTTTGGTGGAATTTTTGGTAACTGATCTATTTCTCAGATTACAAATTACACAGCACAGGCTAATATGGCTAGGATTCAACATTAGATATACTATAATTATAACCTCCCAAAAGAAAATGAAAAGTCTATACATATAAAAGAAAATGTATATGTTTTGTAAGAGAAAAAGGAGAAAAGAGCACAGAAAGTTAAAAAGAAAAAAAAAGAATTTAGATAGTGAGAAGTGGTATCAATAAAATGGCAAAATAGGACTTTCCAGTGCCAGTTGGCCCCCCAGGTCAGACTCTGTAGCCCCAAGACCCATGCCAGTACCCAAGGATCTAGCCTCCAGACCAGTACATATAAGCTGGGCCCCATAAACCCGGACTCCAGACCAGCCCCCAAGGCAGTAAGTTCCACTCTAGCACCACACCAGCTCCAGGCTTCAGGGGGATGGTCCCCACTGCTCTAGGCTCCAGTGGACCTAAAGTCCAGGCCCGCACCAGTAGATATCACCTCATACCTTACATCAGTTAGAATGTCTATTATGAAAAAAGACAAAGGATAACAGATGTTGAGAAGAATATGCAGAAAAGGGAATCCTTATACACTGTTTTTGGAAATGTAAATTAGGACAGCCATGAGGAAAACCACTGTGAAGGTTCCTAAATAAATTAAAAATATTGCCAAACAGGGTGGCTCACAACTGTAATCCCAGCACTTTGGAAGCCGAGGTGGGCAGATCATCCGAGGTCAGGAGTTTGAGACCAGCCTGGCCAACATGGTGAAACCGCATATCTACTAAAAATACAAAAATTACCTCGGTGCAGTGGCACACACCTGTAGTCCCAGCTATTCAGAAGGCTGAGGCAGGAGTATCGCTTGAACCCGGGAGGCAAAGTTTGCAGTGAGCAGAGATCCCACCACTGCACTCCAGCTTGGGAAACAGAGCAAGACTCCATCTCAAAAAATTAAGTTAAATTAAATATATAAAATGCTCATCATCACTGGCCATCAGAGAAATGCAAATCAAAACCACAATGAGATACCATCTTATACCAGTTAGAATGGCAATCATTAAAAAGTCAGGAAACAACAGGTGCTGGAGAGGATGTGGAGAAATAGGAACACTTTTACACTGTTGGTGGGACTGTAAACTAGTTCAACCATTGTGGAAGTCAGTGTGGCGATTCCTCAGGGATCTAGAACTAGAAATACCATTTGACCCAGCCATCCCATTACTGGGTATATATCCAAAGGACTATAAATCATGCTGCTATAAAGACACATGCACACGTATGTTTATTGCAGCATTATTCACAATAGCAAAGACTTGGAACCAACCCAAATGTCCAACAATGATAGAGTGGATTAAGAAAATGTGGCACATATACACCATGGAATACTATGCAGCCATAAAAAATGATGAGTTCATGTCCTTTGTAGGGACATGGATGAAATTGGAAATCATCATTCTCAGTAAACTAACGCAAGAACAAAAAACCAAACACTGTGTATTCTCACTCATAGGTGGGAATTGAACAATGAGATCACATGGACACAGGAAGGGGAATATCACACTCTGGGGACTGTGGTGGGGTGGGGGGAGGGGGGAGGGATAGCATTGGGAGATATACCTAATGCTAGATGACGAGTTAGTGGGTGCAGCGCACCAGCATGGCACATGTATACATATGTAACTAACCTGCACAATGTGCACATGTACCCTAAAACTTAAAGTATAATAAAAATAAATAAATAAATAAATAAAAAATAAATAAATAAATAAATATATAAATTAAAAATAAATGAATAAAAATAGAACTACCGTATGATCCATTTGTATATATTCTAGGTATATATCCAAAAGAATTAAATCACTATGTTGAAAAGCTATCTATACACCCATCTTTATGACAGCAAATTCATAATAGCCAAGGTATTGAATCAATCTAAGTGTCTGTCAATGAATGAGTGAATAAAGAAAGTGTAGTATATATATAATAGAATACTATTCTGCCTGAAAACAAGAAGGAAGTCTTAATATTCTCAACAACATGGCAAACCTGAAGACATTTTGCTAAGTAAAATAAGCCAGGCACAGAAAAACAAATACTGCATGATCTCATATGTGAAATCGACATAAAATGAATCATAGAAGCACAGAGTAGCAGAAAGATGCTTGTCAGGGGTTAGCAGTGGAGAGAAATAGGGAAAATGGGGAGATATTGGTCAAAGGGTACAAAGTTTCAGATGGAAGGAACAAATTCAAGAGATCTATTCTACGGTATGGTGACTATAGCTAATAATACTGTACTGCATAGTTGAAAACTGCTAAGATAATAGATCCTAAATGTTCTCACCACAAAACAGGTAAGTATGTGAGTTAATGATCTGTTAATTAGCTTGAGTAATAATTGCATAATTATGCATATGTCAAAACATTATGCTGTATATTATAAATAAATACATTTTTTTCACTTATCCTTAATAAAGATGGGGGGGGGGGGATATTTGAGTAGGTGAGAAACCAGGATGCTACCGTAAGTGCTCCAAATCGTAAGATTTCCATAGTAGAAAACAGTTCAAAGGGCGAAGTTATGTTCTTTAAGTTTTTAAAAATGTGTTTTTATGTGATGTTTTACCGTATGTGGTCCCAATTCTTGCTAAAAGTCATTTTACATACATTATTCTTGGTTCTTCACTTCTTGGGTAAGGTTAAGGACAAGGGCACATGCCTCATATTTTTCATGCCTAGTTAGAAATAAAGGAAGAGTCAGAGATGCAGAAGGAAGATAAAGTCAGCAGAATCAATGCAATTGCAAGTCACACTAGAAATTGGAGGGAAGTTCTGAGATGCGTTTTTATTTTTATAATAATTTAGGAAATAGTGTGTGAATCAATCATATCTAAATCTCACAGGCCTCAAAAGCTACAGCTGACATTTGAGTTATAGAGAAAACTCAGGCATTGCAAGTACGTTACTTTATACTGAATTCTCCTTTAGCCATTTTTCCGCTTCATTTGACTATGACTGTCAGTTTAAATTGCTCTAGGTATAGCGCAATTATTTCAAATGAAGATGGTTGACAATAATATATAAAACAAAATGATTACTTCTATAAAATAGATTTCTTTATTTGAAACACATATATTGACATACATAATATACTTATTAACCATAAATACTCAAATTAGATCAAGCTTTAAAATAAAAATAAGCTATCATTTTCCATATGACAGTTTCTATCATAAAATTTTTCCAATATATTTTCACATAATTCTTTCATACACCCATTGGCTTCAAGTCATTTTCAGAGCCTCTCTATTTGCCTCAAATGTTTTCCTTAGTTCCTTAGGTAATGCAGTTGCTCCAAGCACTTACCTCACCTAAGTATACCTAGCCTATGATGACCATTTGTTTATAAGCTCCATAGCTCAGCTTTACCAGCTCCTTTTACTTCCTATATATTTCTCACTGCCTTGCAAAAAAGAGGGATCTCAGATGCTGACTTCTGCTATACTGTTTCAAAGCCTCTCTTACTACAATTCATAAAACTTATTGTTCTACTATTGATACTGGATATGAAAGAATATGGACCAAAATTCCTCTCAAAATTTACTATCCGACAAAGAATAAGCATTGTTGGAGAAAAGGATTTGAAGTATTTTGCTGTGTATTTAACTAAACTAAAGATAGAAGACAAAAGTATTCTGCCCAAAAAGCAAGAAATTAAAAGACATATTGTAGAGATTTTTAAATTGAGAGTATCATCTTTTCATAGGATTTACAGCTTCGCTTTTATCAAGATTTACAACAAATTTCATGCCTTATTTTCAATCGAGAAATGTCTGTCTTGGATACATTAGGTTTGTACCATGGAAAAACATCACTATAGATGTTTTATCTTGATTTTACATAGCTGTTTTCTCCACAAGTGAATGGTATTTAGGCTGACTGTGTTTTATTCCTACCTGTTACCAGGAACTCCACGACCTTGTTAGAGTACATGCTCAGCAAGTGCTAACAGAGTGAGTGAATAAAAGAATGGTTGATAAATAAATAGAAGGATGAATCATTGTGAGGGGAGACTCTGTTATATTGTTAATATGACACATACACAGGCTCATTCCCACCCCATTAGTCTCTTCACTGCCCCTCTTACAACTTTGTTTCTGAGGGTGTAGATTAGAGGGTTAAGACTAGGTGTGACAACAGTATAAAAGAGGGCAATGAACTTGCCTTGATCTTGAGAATTTCCTGATGGTGGCTGGAGATATATGCACATGGCCGGAATGAAAAAGAGAGATACAGCCATAAGATGAGCTCCACATGTTCCAAACACTTTCTGAAGCCCAGTGGTTGACTGCATCCTCAGTACAGCTCGGACGATGGCACCATAAGAAGTGAGAATGAGGATGAGAGGTATGAGAACAAATATGGAGCTTGTGATCATGAGGGTCAGCTCATTGACATGGGTATCAACACACGATAATCGCAGAAGTGCTGGAACTTCACAGAAAAAGTGATCTACTTGGCGGTGTCCACACAGAGGTACCCAGAAGGTGAAGGAGGAATGAAGTGCTGAGTTGGTAAAACCACTTACCCAAGAAGCCACAGCCAGCAGGTGGCAGAAACGAGGGTGCATGAGGACAGTGTAATGCAAAGGTCTACACACAGCTGCATAACGGTCATAGGACATCACCACCAGTAGGACACACTCTGTGGTTCCCAGTGCGAGAACAAAGTAAAGTTGAATCATGCAACCAGCATAAGAGATGGTCTTTTCCGGGCCCCAGAGATTGACCAGCAACTGAGGGATAGAGCTGGTGGTGTAGCAGAGATCCAGAAATGAGAGGTTTGAAAGGAAGAAGTACATTGGTGTGTGCAGATGGGAGTCCAGGTATGACAGGATGATGATGAACAGGTTTCCTATCAGTGTCATCAAGTAGAAGATCAAGACAACCACAAAGATAACTACTTCCAGATGAGGCCAATTAGAAAATCCAACTAAAATAAAGTACCCCTCAGAGCTAGCATTGACTTTTCCATCATCATTCATTTCCTATTACCTGAGAGAAAAAAAAGAAAGGTAAACTCAAAAAACGAGTAAACAAATGATCCAAAAATATCAGCACACATGAATAAAAAATAAAAGCCAGTTTGAAGGGCTTGCCATCATTTAATTGTAGGACAATTTAACCATTAGTAGTAATGAATTTAACAAAAGAAGAATTATAAAGCTCATACTGATATAAAAAGTAAAAGAATAAATAAATGAATGGTGAAGATAAAGCTATTCCTTACAGTAGATCCCTAATTAACAAATATAGAAGGGGTGACGGTGTTAAGAAAAACATAAATGATTGCAAAAACTAGTGGATAAAAATTTGATGGGGAACAGAATATGTACAAATATCTAAAATAGTCTAAAATATCTCCTCACAACTTTCTAGTTAATTTCAAACTGAAAAACAGTAAAGTTTGTAGTAGAAAAACCTGTCAGACACCACCATAACCAGTGATTTTATTGATCTTAAGATCAACTGTATTTGCACAAACCAACATCATGAACCTGCTGTGATGATGCTCTGAACAGGACATGCTGTCACTTCAGTGATATTTGTGTTAAAAATTCTAATAATGAAGACTAATTCTAATAATGAAGACACATGAGAAAAACTCAAATTGAGAGAAATAGCTTGCCTATACAATTCAGAAAAGTATCAAGTTTAAGTAGAAAAACAAAGGGTGAGGAACTGGTCCAGATGAAAAGAGACTAGTGAGATGTGATTTCTCAGTGTACAATCCTGGATTTTTTCAAAAACTAGCTATTAACAAAATTATTGAGACAATTTAAGAAATCTCAGTGTGGACTATGGATTAGATAATAATATTGTGCCCATATTAAGTTTGCTGATTTGGGTACTGTGCTGGACTTATGTAAAGTAACATCCTTTTCCTTAGACAAAAAACACTGAATAAAGTATTTGGCATAAAGGAACGTGTCATCTCCAACTTACTCTCAACTAGCCCAGAAAAAGAGATAGATAGGTAGATAGATAGATAGATAGATAGATAGATAGATAGATAGATAAATAGATAGATAGTTGATAGATGATATAACAAAGCTTTGGGGGAAAATGTAAACTAATACTCAATCTGGTAAAAGGGTAAATGTTAGTCTTTTGTACTACTTTTTTGCAACTCTTCTCTAAGTTTGAAATTTTACCATAATAAAAAGTCACAAAAATACAAAATAATTTTTTAATTTTATATTTTATTTAGATGTTTGCCTTATTATAGAAAAATAACTATCAAGTTCTCATTCATTTTAGGGTGACATCTAGGTAAATGGTAATTGAAGGAAATTCCTAACCTAGCTAAGGAAGATAATTTCCATAAAACACAAAATCTTTCTTTGTTAATAAATAAGGAACTTTAGTTTTCTTTTCAGCATTTTCAGGTTATTTTCTTAAATGTGATTGTGGAAAACGTAATCATTGCAATCACAATAATCTTACATATGGATGAAAAGATATGTGGAAAATATTGAATTTAGTCATTTCAAAATGTTCACCTAAAGAAAAAATGTTTAGCTTCAATTAGATAAGAATCTTATCTTGTGATTTGTTTACTTGGACTCAAAATGTATTTCTAAACTGAAAAATTGAATACAAGTAGAGAAGACACAGACACTTGCTCATCAATATATGGGTATTCATGATACGAACTAAGCTAAAAATCTGGGGAGAACAGTGATAGAATGCTTTCTAAAGGATGTGTGACTACAACTGAATTTGAAAAGATTCAAACTTTACAGAAAGGAAAGGAAGATAAAAATTCAGTGAGAGAACAGAGAAGGAAGGAAAAGTGGGAGGGGCAGGAAAATGGAGGAGAACCTGAGTGTAGTTCTTAGAGTTGCAGGTGTGTCTATCACAGGGTTCAAGAAGCTGAACCACAGGGCCTGAAGAAGGTTTCTACATGATGTATTTTTCTCCAGGACAATAATTTAGATAGTATATAAATTCTGAGCATGAGCTATAATTAGTACATATTTATTCTCCAAGTTAGAGAGTTCTGAATATTTAATGAATCATTAAGTGGCTGTTCATCATTTAATACATTGTGCCCAGTGAATCTCATGTTACTTTTTTTGTTAAAAATAAAATATATCTTACAAATAGTTATGACTCCTAGGTGATGCTTTTTCTCCAGTGAGTTTTCAATCTTTCATAGAAAAAAATGATACTTATTTTTGTTATATAGTTATTGTGTCAGGCATAGCAACCCACCATTTAAATACCCCATTTTCTCTGAATTCTTTGCCTCTTCCAGCTTTGCCACATGCCCTCTATTTCATTCCTTCCACAGTCGGTTATTTTTCTTATACCTCCCAATTGGCTATGGCACAGGAAGAAAGAAATCATTGTGGGGCCACCTGTGATTGCCTCTTTTAGGGGTCTCTTAATCGCTCATGTTTTATAAATTCAATGCCTGAAAGAAATGTCAGGAGTAGCTAATTGGTTGAGTTTCAGCAGAAAAGTTTGGAACATTCAGTTTGGTCCCAAGATTAAAAGATTGACCTCAGACCTTTTAACAGACTTGGTAATGTAAATAATCATTAGCCAGTTGTTACACTAATCTAGATTACTTTCAACAACTTAAACAACCATCCAGGAAAATCAGTCTGCACATTGTTTTAAAAGAAAATTTTAAAAGCTATAGCTGAATCAAAAAGCAGCAATAGTCAAAGAGTAAATCATGAAGATTACTTGACTTAGAGGTCACAGCCCTTGAGGGAAGATGAAAATTTTCCAAGAGATTTTTAAAAATTTCTCTAGAATAGGAGATAATACATCATGAGAAATATGAACACAAATGTTATAGTTACCTTCTCTCATGCAGATAAAATTTTCTTCTTTCTTGTACAGTTGCCTCGATAATTTATTACATTAACTAAAACAACATTTAGCTGTGAGATACCTTTGCCAATTGCATGACCCATCTTTGAGCAATCTTACATAGAGAGGTTAGAATGAGATATGAGATAAGAAGCAAACAAACAAAAACTTACCAGATGCAAGCAAGGAAAAGGTAGGAATTTTTCTGGGTTAATTTTCTTCTTCCTGGTGGAGCAGAAAATAAAAGCCTTATCAAAAGTTAAAAGCCTTATCAAAAGCCATATCAAAAGTTTAAGTTATCCTTAACACAAAGAAAGGATAAATGCTTGAGGTGATGGATACCCCATTTAGCCTGCTGTGATTATTACACATTGTATGCCTGTATCAAAAATACCTGGGTCGGGTGCCGTGGCTCACACCTGTAATCCTGACACTTTGGGAGGCCAAGGTGGGCGGATCTCTGGAGCCCAGAAGTTCGAGACTAGCCTGGGCAATGAAGTGAGACCATGTCTCTACAAAAAATAAAAAGAAAGAAATTATCAAAAAAAATCTCATGTACCCCATAAATGCATACACCTATTGTGTACCCACAAAAATTAAAAGTTAAAAGTTGCTTTCATGGACTAGGAATAAGTGATCCTCTCTAGTTTTGGAAATCAGGTATAACGGAGGGAGAAAATAATCTCTTTTCCCCATCCCCATGTCACTGGCCAAGTTTTTTTATTCTTACCATAATATTTCTTTATATATTACCTAGTACTTAAGCAGTACTCAAACAATGCCTTTCACTCTGTCCTTCCTGTATCTGTCCACATTCCCTGTATATTGTCTTCCTAGCTGATGCCCTCATCATGCACAGACTGATCTGATCTCTGATTTTGATCACCTTGAAATCACCAACATAAATGCCTACACTTCCCTCATCTACTACATCAATTAGGAAAACAGTCTGAATGTAGCTATGACTATCATTGCTACAGAAGAGAAAGCTCTGAGTCTACTAAAAAAATTTAGTTTTACCCAAAAGATAAACTTATTAGAGCTTTCAGTGTATCAAGGGATGGGTCTTTATCTTAGAGTCAATGGGCCCTTTTTGGAAACAAAAGAATGTGACTTGCTTTCCTTGACTTGGGCCACTGGGAGGGTAAATCCCAAAGTAGCAATTAATGCCCTTCAAGGAGTTATCCTGGTTAGAACAGTTTCTCAGTGATGTTCTTGGCATGATGCCACATTGTTGTACGAGGATGACAAGGAATCTATAGTCCAGCCATAGCAGAGAAAAATACTTTGAGCTGTATCTGCAGGGAAGGGAATGGGTTATCTTGAGTTACCTGAAACCTCTTCCCCAATTCTTCAGTATGCTAGAGGCCAAATTTGAGATATAGCTTGTTAGGTAGTCTAATTTGGGAATGGGAAAAGGCATGAAACATTTTTTAAAAGGAAATATAATGACTACATTATACATATTTGTTTTATTAATTTGAATTTTTAATTGTGTCTAACATCTCTAAAATTCAAGGCCAAGTTCAGCCCTGCAAAAGTGTTAAAAATTACCTTTGAAGACCATTCAAACTATACTCAGAAGGTCACTACCAAACTCAGAAAACTTTTAACAAAATTATTTAATATTTCCAAAATATTGTTATCAATAATTTCTTTTGATGTCTTGTTAAAAGCTTTGCAGAAATATATAAAAAAGCTAAATTAGCTGTGATAGCTAGCCTACATCCCATGTTTAAAAAAAAAAGCACATCGTGAGTTTATAAACTAATGAAGATTTTTCAATTGTTACATTGTGTCTAGGTGATATATTCCATGTGTACCAGACAAAGTCTTGGTATGAAAATCAAGTCACATTTACAATACAATTATATTTTAAAGTCAGTACTTTTAAGAGCATGATCAGGTATTTTCCTGTCCACTTATGTGAAGCAACTGAAAACAGTCTTGGCTTCAGTAGTCTTGATTGTTGTGAAAACTCCATGTGAAAAATACGTAAACATTATCCTCGATGCCTAGTGCATAATCATTCAATACATGTTAGCTGCTATTACCATTATAGTGAATTTTAATTTGAAGTGATATTTTAACAAGTCATTCTATATTATTTCTTCATCCTTTATTTTAGATATTTAAAATATTAAAAATAAACCCTTATGTTCCCATCATTCAGAATCATCAACCATAACTTTTGTCATTTTTATTTTCAGAATTTTTAGCACATAAAGTATCACAGATAAAGTTCATATCCCCTTCAACTGTCACTCTCTGACCCAACACTAAATCCAGAGACAACTACCATGAGCTTGGTATATATCATTCCAGTTTACTTTAAAATATATTAAATATTATTTTTAAGATAAATATGATTAAATAGTCATATAATCATATGTCTAAACTTCTCTATCTTATTGGAGAGGAATTTGACCAGTGATCCTACAACCTGTGGGGACTAGCAGAATTCAATCAGTTATCAAAATCCAGGAAATGTCTGATATCCTGGTCTGTAGGAGATTGTACCAAGCTCCAATATTTTTCATGTTTTGGTAACTAGAATTGTAGGAGAGTTTTTGGCCCCTGCCAATCTACTGGGTGCCAGCAAATGTTAACATTTTTAGGTGTGATGTTAGTAACTTGTGAAAATACAGCTGGCATAACATGATTTAATTACAGCAAAGTATTTCTAAGGAAGCAACCCTCAACTTTTTTCTCTACAATACACACTCAGATAAATAAAACACATTGAAAGTCACATCTGAGGAATCAAAAGGAATAAAAGACACTAAATGATCTCTGTTGAGCTTCTGTTAATTTGAGTGCTTTGTATGGGAGGAATGTGAATTAGAGTAGATCACAAACTATTAAAGCATTGTAGATGGGAAGCTCAGTTGGAGTTAAGGCCTAGAAAATTCACATATACAACATGGAGTACTATGCAGCCATCGAAAAGGATGTGTTCATGTCCTTTGCAGGGACATGGATGAAGCTGGAAGCCATCATTCTCAGCAAACTATCACAAGAACAGAAAACCAAACACCACATGTTCTCACGCATAGGTGGGCATTGAACAATGAGAACAGTTGGACCTGGGGGGAAACATCATACACCAGGGCCTGTGGGGGCGGTGGGGGGGATGCGGGAGGGATAGCATTAGGAGAAATACCTAATGTAAATGATTAATTGATGGATGCAGCAAACCAACATGGCACATGTATACCTACGTAACAAACCTGCACGTTGTTCACATGTACCCTAGAACTTAAATAATAATAAAATAAAATAAAACAGACGATGGAAAAAAATCAGTCATATTTCTATACAATTTATAGTGGTATCTAAAAACATGAAATACATAGAGGTGACTTTAACAAAATATGGACAATAGCTATACAATGAAAACCTCAAATGCTTCTGAAAGAAAATAAGATGTAAGTAAATGGAGATCTATATCATGTCCCCAGATCAGAAAAGTCAATGTTGTCAAGTTGCCAGTTCTTCTCCAATTGGTCTATAAATTCAATGCAATCCCCAATCAAAATGCCACCAGGCTTTTTCTGTGGAAATGACACACTGTATTTTATTAAAGTTAAAATTTTTCTCTTTGAAAGATATGACAGTATTCTATTTGCAAAAGATTTGTTTGACCAAGGACTTGAGTTCAGAGTATACAAAGAACTTCAAATTCAACAATAAGAAGACAAATGACCCAATTTTTAAAGTGAGTAAAATATCTGAACAGAAGCTACACAAAATAACATATATGAAGCATATGAAAAGCACACAAGAGGATGGTCAATGTCAACACCCCTCAATGCAAATTATAGCCACAGGTAACCTAACTTGAGAGGTGAAAAGTATAAAAACTGACAATACCAAGTATTAGAAAGAATGTGAGTTCATTTGGAACTCTCATACACTGCTGTTTGAAGTGAAAATAGAACAGCCACTTGAAAACATTTTTGCAGTATCTCATAAAGATAATATACACTAAGCATGTGGTCCTCCTGGAGAGGTACAAATAAAAGGTATTTACCCAAATTAAGTGAAAACATGCATCCACACAAACACTTGTATACAAATTTTCATAGCAGCATTATTCATAATAGCCAAAAATTTTAAATACTCCCAAAGCCCTTCACAGATAAATGGATAAATTGTCGCACATTCGTACAATGGAGTTCTAACAAGCAATAAAAAGGAAAAAGTAACTGATACATGTGGCAACATAATAAATGTCAAAAACATCATGCTAAATGAAACAAGCCACACCCAAAGATTACACACTGCATGATTGCAATTATTTGAAATTCTAAAAGTGGGAAAAACCAAGTACATTTAGAGAAAATTAATGCTGCCTCAGGCTATGACTAAAAGGGGAAAGTTGACTACAAAACGGAAGTTCTTTGGGGAGTAATAGAAATGTCCTATAATCTTGATTGTGGTGGCATTTACACAATTATACATTTGTCAAACTCACTGAACTATTCTTTCAATTTGATATTGAGAAACCTGTCTTTGAGACTCAAATTTGCCATTTGTTAGTGCGTGCATTTAGACAAGACTACTTAATCTCTCTGAGACTCAATTTCCTAATCTTTAACATAGGAACAATAATGTTTATATCTTATTTTTCTTTTGTTTCAAGAGGCTAATAGTCAACAAAGCTTTAGGGTTTCTATGATGACCAAAATTCTAATGAAACAAAATATATTAATGTGCTTTATAAGTTGTGTAGTACTGTTACAGTATAAAGGATTATAATTATACACTTTTTCCGATAGCTTATTAAATCCAATATTTGATGTCTAACAAAAATACAATAAAAAGAAAATATAAAAAAATTCATTGAACTATATACTTAAAATGTGTAGATTTCTTTGTACATAAATTATACTTCAATAAATTTGAAAAGAAAAGAGTCTTGTAGATCTTGAGAAGCTGGAGTGACACATGACATATTACAAATGGTAAGATTTCCACGGAGGCAGGAGGAATCTATGTTCTCATATTTTGTGAAGTCTGTGTGAGATGTGATGTGATCCCAATAATCCCACTGGGTACTTATCCAAGAAAAATGAAGTAAGTATTCCGAAGAGGTATCTATGCCCCCATGTTCATTGCAGCACTATTCATGACAGCCAAGATGAAGAAACAACCTAAGCATCCATTGATGGAGGAATGGATAAAGAAAATGTGATCTCATACACACACACACACACACACACAGCGAGAAATATTATTCAGCCAATAAAAAGAAAATCCTGCCATTTGTTATAACATGGATGAACTGGAGGATATTGTGCTAAGTGAAATAAACCACACACAGAAAGACAAAAGATGTATGATAACACTTACATGTGGAATCTAAAAAAATTGAACTCGGATAGGAACAGTGGCTCACGCCTGTCATCCCAGCACTTTGGGAGGCCAAGGCAGGTGGATCATTTCAGGTCAGGGGTTCAAGACCAGCCTGGCCAACATGGTGAGAACTAGTTTCTACTAAAATACAAAAATTAGCTGGGCGTGGTGGCGGGTGCCTGTAGTCCCAGCTACTGGGGAGGCTGAGGCAGGAGAGTTGCTTGAAGCCGGGAGGCAGAGGTTGCAGTGAGCCAAGATCGCACCACTGCACTCCAGCCTGTGTGACAGAGTGAGACCGTGTATCAAAAAAATAAAAAAACTGAACCCATAGAAGCAGAGAATAGAATGGTGGTTGCCATGGGCTGGAGGGTGGGAAGTGGAGAGACAGCCAAATTGTACAAACTTTCTGTCATAAGATGAATACATTCTGGAGATCTAATGTAGATTATGGTGACTATAGTTAATAATACTGTACTGTATACTTGAAATTTGCTTAGAGATTAGATCTTAAGTGTCCTGACCCTCCCCGCTCCCCCTACACACAGTAACGATGTGAGATGATGGATGTGTTAATTTGACTGTGGTAATAATTTCACAATTTGGTTTGATTTATATATAATCACATTGTGCACATTAAATATATGTTATTTTATTTGTGCCTCAGTAAAGCTGGAAAAAATAAAATCAAAATAAAGAAATTTTTTTAATAATGCTATTCAGCAAAGAACAAGGATGTTAAGAGTTTTAAGCTATCTTTAATATGTCATTAACTAGGCCAACTAAAGCAAATTAAGCACATATTCTGCTTTGTTTCATTTAATAGCACTGTCTTCCTACAGGAGCTATGAATTTATTATCAGAGTTTATTATCAAACTTATTGTTTTGCTTTCGATTTTTAAAAAGTGAAAGATGTATACAATCTGAAGAGTAATCAGAGTATATTGTTTCTGATTTTTAAAAGCTATCTTAATTTATTAGCATTAACCCCAGTGACAAATTAAGCCATGTACAGATACTTCATCTTTTATCTTATGTTGCCATTTTTCCCGATAGAGAGTGCATTCTGTTCAGACAAAGTATGTTATATTTATACATGTTACCAAGAATTTCACAAACTGGGAGAGAGTACATGTCCAGTAAGATTTAGCTAATGAAGAATAAGTTAATGAATAAATGGACAGATGAACGAATCAGCCATTTTAAAGAGATATTAGTTTACTGTTCAATGTGACAAGAATGCAGACCTACAGGATAAATTATATAATTTAGTGTCTTTAAAAAGTGAACTTCAACCAAAAAATTATGACATATCCTTTACCATATAATAAATGGTGTTATTCATTATGTTTACTATTTTTCTTTGCTGTGACTATTTTTAGCTTCATTTAAGGTTTATTTAATAACCAAAAACTTCTTCAGCCTACATCTTTGCAATATTGCCCTTCTCTTCCTATACATATCAATGGTCAGTTCATAATTTAGCACATTGTCAGAAATATTGCCAATATTTTTTAAATAATCTCCTCATAATTATTCACACACACATTTATTTATGTTGAAACCACAGTCCACAATTTTCATGGAAATAAATATAGAATTGTAAAAGAACAAAATGGTACTAATCAAAACCTTTATCTCAACATAATATTTCAGAACTAAATATTAAACAGAGCAACAAATGGGGGAACTGAACTATTCCATGTTTTGTGAGCTGTTAGATGAAACACAAATCACAAAGAAGCAGGGAAACAACCTTTCAAAATGGATAAGACCCTAGGAAAAACAACAGCCAACATGATTTCCCTGTCACATCCCCCATTCCCACCCCATTAGTCTCTTCACTGCCCCTCTTACATCCTTGTTTCTGAAAGTGTAGATTAGAGGGTTAAGACTAGGTGTGACAACAGTGTAAAAGAGGGCAATGAACTTGCCTTGATCTTGAGAATTTTCTGATGGTGGCTGGAGATACATGCACATGACTGGAATGAAAAAGAGAGATACAACCATAAGATGGGCTCCACATGTCCTAAGCACTTTCTGAAGCCCAGTGGTTGATTGCATGCTCAGTACAGCCCGGGCAATGGCACCATAGGAAGTGAGGATGAGGATGAGAGGTATGAGAACAAAAATGGAGCTCATGACCATGAGGGTCAGCTCATTTGCCTAGGTATCAACACATGATAATCGCAGAAGTGCTGGAGCTTCACAGAAGAAGTGATCCACTAGGCGATGTCTACATAGGGGTATCCAGAAAGTAAAGGAGGAATGAAGTGCTGAGGTTGTAAAACCACTTACCCAAGAAGCCGCAGCCAACAAGCGGCAGAAACGAGGGTGCATGAGGACAGTGTAATGCAAAGGTCTACACACAGCTGCATAACGATCATAGGACATCACCACCAGTAGGACACACTCTGCGGTTCCCAGTGCGAGAACAAAGTAAAGTTGAACTGTACAACCAGCATAAGAGATGGTCTTTTCCGGGCCCCAGAGATTCACCAGCAACTGAGGGATAGAGCTGGTGGTGTAGCAGAGATCCAGAAATGAGAGATTTGAAAGGAAGAAGTACATGGGAGTGTGGAGATGGGAGTCCAGGTATGACAGGATGATGATGAACAGGTTTCCTATCAGTGTTATCAAGTAGAAGATCAAGATAACCACAAAGAGAACTACTTCCAGATGAGGCCAGTTAGAAAATCCAAGTAGAATAAAGAAGTCTTCAAAACTTGCATTTTTTTTCATCAACATTCTTATTTTTCCTGTACCTAAAGAAAGAATCGCATAAACTCAAAGTCTGTCCATGCATTGCCAACTGCTCACTTGCAAACAGATTGGAGAAAAAAGTATCCCAATTCCAGATAGTGTGCACCATTATGGCAGTAGAATTTTTATACAGTTTCCTTTGTATGCTTCATTGAGATATTTGTCCAGCTGTGGATACAAGTAATAGCTTTTCAAGTTACTGAGTTCTTTTATATACATCCTTGAGTTAACATTTGGATAAATGAAGACTAAGATATTCCATAATCAGAAAGACAATATTTAAGAAAATAATTTTTTATTTTAAAAAGTTAAATTGATTTTTTTTTGCATTTTCAGACTATTTCCAATTTTGCAGTTACAGAGAAAGGAATAACTGCAGCCATAATAATCTTACTTATAGATAGGAACTTCCCATGTTAAAGAGCAATTAGGTAGTCACTTTAAAATATTAATATGAACTGAAAAGAAATAATTGGATATGATTATAGAAAGAATTAAATGATATTCATTTATTTATGCTAGCAGTTTATTTCTAGACGAATAAAATAACATGCAAATGAAGGTTTAAACAGACATGCACACACACACCAACTTATAAAAATTCACAATATAAGCAAAGCTGATTAATAAAGTGAAATAGAGTAGAGATATCAGTGATAGAGTGCTTCCAAAGTTACATGGGGGTATAATTATTATTGGAAGACAGAAAGATTACAGAGTCTAACAAAAACACCGGGAGGTGTAAGAGAGAAAGGAAGAGTGCTTTGAGGCACAACAGTGAAGAGGAGGTCAGAATGTGGCATTTGAAATTGAAAGAATGTATAACACAGGATTGTTAGACAGGGACAAGAAGACTTAAATGTGGTTTCTAAAAAATTTTATATGCTTTAGGCCAATAACTGAACTATACTTTAAATTCTGAGTCACAACTTATAATTTGTATTTCTGGGTTTTCTTCAATATTCCTAAATAGCATTGCCATCCCCCTTCTGCTCCCCTCCTGCCACAGCCAACTCTTCCTCTCATACTCTCTGATAAAATATGACAAAAGACAAATTTATTTACACCCAACTCACCTTCAGTGTTTTGAAAAACTTTTAACAACTCAAATATTCTAATCTTGACTCTTGAAAAAGATGTAAGGGTTTGCCTAATTAGTTGAGTTACAGCTGGAGAGCTAGGAACGTTGAACTTGGGCCAAGTCTGTGCAGATGCTCCAGACAGGTACAAAGATATCTGTACACTTTTCCATATTGTTGATAATGAAATGATCATTACCTTTTGAGAAATCATGGAAAAATTGCAAGAATTTTTTTAAAAATTTCGCTAGGTTGAAAGGTAATATTCTGTAAGATACTTGAACTCAAATGTTGTGGATACTTTTGCTAATGCAGGTATAATTTTCTTTCCTAATGCAGCTGCCTGACTTCCTTACTACAGTAATTAAAAGGTGAAATCTGATATTTTTCTGTTGTATAAACCATCTTTCAGCATTCTTCCAGAGTCGATAAAAAGGATAGGAAATAAGGGACAAAAAAAAAAAAAAACCCAGAACTCACGTAGAGAAAAGTTTGCAGCTTCGATTTTCTTCTTGGAGGAAAAGAGGGAAATGAAGACCCTATCAAATGTAGCTTTTATGAACTATGGAATAAAATATCTTCTCTCTTCTTTTAAATCAAACACTGTAGGGAAAATGGATGGCTGAGTGTCTCTTCTTTCCCCAATTATTACTAAGAGACATTTTCCCAATTCGTGTCATATTCATTCCTTTATACTATATCTGGTTTGTTTTCTTACTTTTTCATTGACTAGTAATAATTGTATATATGTATGGAGTACATTGTAATGTTTTGATATGTATATACATCATAGAATGATTATATTAAGCTAGTTAATGTACCTATCACCTCACACACATCATTTTTTTGTAGTAAGAACATTTAAAATCTACACTTCCTGCAATTTTGAAATACAGAAGCTGTACACCCCTTAAGAAGTGCGCCAACTTCTTTCAGTACTGACCTTCCTGTGTTTGTCCCTGTTCCCTGTCACTCTCTACCTGGCCTACGACCTCATCATGTATAAACTGATGAAGGGGCTCTCTGGTTGCCATGCAACCTAGAAACATCAACCTAATTGCCTTCTTATAACATTTTTGCCAATGTTTTAAATCTAACTATGGAGAACAGAGTCTGGAAATAACTGTGATTGTCATTGCTACAGAAAAGAGAGCCTGAGTTTGTCCAAAAGATCTGCTTTTTAGCAGAATGTGGGAATACTTTAGAGCATTCAAGGTATCAGGGGATGGACCCTTTATCCCAGAGTAAATGGAATCTTTATGGAACCAAAAAGAATAATGGGATACTCTTTCATTGACTGGGGCCTTTGGGAGTATAAATCCCAAAGTTGCAATTAATGCCCTTCAAGTTGTCCTGGTGTGGTGTTCTCAGTACAAAACTCTTCACAGAAATATCTTCAGTATGATGTTATAGTCTTACTGTGATGACAGTGAATTTATCACTTACAAATATGGGAAAAGATGCTGTGAGTTATATTTACAATAAAGGGAATGGGTTTTACTGAGCCATGTGATTTTTTTTCAGTTTTCCATGGGGCTAAGGGTAAAATTTACAAGACAACTGGAAAAAAGGAGTGATTTCAGAGCCATTCAACTGAAAAACTAGAATACATAAAGACTAAACTGTATATCTATTCCTTACTAATGACGTGCTCTTTGAGACTGACCTATATTATTTATGCCATCCCAGTTGTCTTTTAAATTCAATTCCAAGATTTTTCCTGCAAAAGGTTAAAAAATATCTTGTGTTTAAAATCTCCCCTTTCCCCATCCCCTACCCCCAAGGTAGCTATATTCTACTCTCCACTTGCATGAGTTTATCTTTTTTAGATTCCACATATGAGTGAGATCACGTGGTATTTGTCTTTCTGTGTCTGGCTTCTTTCACTTTGCATAATGTCCTGCAGGTTCATGAATGTTGTTGAAAAGACAGAATTTCCTTTTTTCTTTAAGGCTGGATAGTATTCCATTTTATATAGATAATGTGGCTCATATATATCACATTATATCCCTTTTATATATTTATCTGTTTATCCATTGATGGGCATTTAAGTTCCTTCCATATCTCAGCTATTGTGAATAATGCTACAATGAACATGGTAGTGCAAATATCTGTAGTGAATTCTTATGATTTTATGTTGCCTCAGTGTTTATTTTCAATATAAGTTGAACTTTCTCATACCAGAAGCAGGGCTTAGTCACCCTTAACACAATTTCGAGTTCTCCTCTCCCAGTTTCTTCAGGTGGTCAATCCAGATATTTGGCCTCTTGGTTTCCACCTTCCTGTGGAGCACCTAGATACAACCTGTTTGACTTATCCCACTGATCCCCACACCCCACATGGACTGCAGACTTGCAGTAGTGAACACCTCTCAATACAACATAACTCCCAAGAACTCATGCCTGCTTGCTTTAAACCCAGCAATCAGTTACTCCCTGCTTAGGAAATGCTGTGTACCCCAGTAAAGGCTTCGGCCTTCTCGGCTGTCACTCACTCTCCCTTGCTACCCACCCACTGGTTGAGCATGCATGTCTCTGAGGGCTGCCCCTTCTCCCGTTAGGCCTGTGAGGAAAGTTTCCTTCTTCTCTCTGGATCTTTAAGTAATAAAACTACTTCTATTACGTGTTTTTTTTTACTTGCGTCTCGCGTGACTGACATACGTGAAATTAACTTCTTTTCTGGACAAGGCTCTCTTAAAGAGTGGTTATCTTGGTAGGAATGAACTGGACACACTAGTCAGACAAGAGCCACAAGGGTGTCTGCCAGTGAAAATGAGTTTCCAGTGAGAGGGACACCTGGTCATAAATAGGACAATTAGGCATTAGCTCTCCATCAGGATATAGAAGTATTCCACGAAAAAAACACTGAAAACATCCACAACCACAACCACCTCCACTGGAGCCCATCAGAGCAGGGCTAGAGTTTCTGGCTCCTCTTCAAAGAGAGACGTTAAGACCAAATTAGAGGAAAATCTACCAATATATTTTTAACATATTAATTTCAATCTCTTTGGCTATGTACTCAGAAATATAGTTGCTGGATCATATGGTAATTCTATCTTTTTTTGAGGAACCTCCATGCTGATTTCAATAATGGCTGTATTAATTTACATTACTACCATTAGTATATAAGGATTCCCTTCTCCACATCCTTGCTAATACTTATTAACTCTTATTTTATTGATATAGCCATTCTAACAGGTATGAGGTGATATCTTATTGTGGTTTTAATTTGTATTTCCTTGATGTTGAGAAATTTTGTTATGTATCTGTTAGTCTTTTATGTCATCTTTTGAAAGATGTCCATTAAGTGTTTTGCTCAGTTTTAAAAGGGGTTCTT
This sequence comes from Homo sapiens, assembly GCF_000001405.40. Lineage (NCBI taxonomy): Eukaryota > Metazoa > Chordata > Mammalia > Primates > Hominidae > Homo > Homo sapiens. The sequence goes on along the minus strand of NT_167248.2, from coordinate 362,096 downwards.
TGTTTTCTTGCTAACAAATTTAAGTTGTTTGCATTTCTTACATATTTTGGATATTAGCCATGTATGGTTTGTAAATATTTTCTCCCAGTCCATGGGTTGTCTCTTCAATCCGTTATTTACTTTGTTATACAGAAGGTTTTTGGTTTGAGGTAATCCCATTTGTCTATTTCTGCTTTGGTTTCCTGTGCTATTGAGATCATCACCAATAAATTATTGCCAAGATTAATTTCAAGAACATTTTTCCCTATGTTTTCTTCTAGTAATTTTACATTTTCTGGTCACACATTTAAATCTTTAAACCATTTTTAGAGGATTTTTGCATATGGTGTGAAATAAGGTTTCAATTTCATTGTTCTGTATTTGGGTATTTGATTTTCCCAGCATCATTTATTAAAGATACTGCCCTTTCTCCATAGTGTGTTCATTCTTGGCATCTTTGGCAAAAATCAGTTAACCACAAATGCATGAGTTTATCTCTGGGCTCTCTATCACATTACATTGGTCCGTGTGTCTGTTGTTATGCCACTACCTTTCTGTTTTGAATACTATAACTGTGTAATATATTTTGAAACAGGTAGTGTGATGCCTCCAGCTTTGCTCTTTTTGCTCAAAAGTGCTTCAGCTACTTAGGGGTTTTTGTCATTCCATATGAATTTTTAAATTGCTTTTTCTATTTCTGTGAAACAAAAAAGTCATTGAACTTTTATAGAAATTGCACTGAATCTGTGTATCACTTTAGGTAGTACACATATTTTAATAATATTAATTCTTCCAAACCATGAATGCAAAATCCATCATATTCTGGGTTTTTGTTTGGTAGAAGACTTTTATTACTGATTCAACCTCCTTACTCATTATTAGTCTGTTCAGATTTTCTGTTTTTTTCATGATTCATTTTTGTTATGTTTCTAGAAATTTAACCATTTCTTCTAGGTTACCCTATTCGTTGGTGTAAAATTGTTCATAGTATTCTTTTATGAGCTTTTGTACTTCTGTAGTATCAATTGTAATGTCTCCTCTTTCATTTTTGACTTTATTAGAGTCTTCTTTTCTTCTTAGTTGGTCTACTCAAGTTTTGCCAATTGTTTTTATCTTTTCAAAAATTCAAGTCTTAGTTTTGTGAATGCATTCTATTGTTTTCTAGCTTCTTATTTATTTCTGCTCTGATCTTTGTTATTTCCTTCCTTCTGCTAACTTTGGGATTAGTTTGCTCTTCTCTTTTTCTGGTTTCTTGAAATGTAACATTAGGTTGTTTGGGATCTTTCTTCTTTTTTAATATAGGCATTTATTACTACAAACATTCCTCTTGCTAATATCTTCTTTTGCTACATGCCATAAGTTGTGGTATGTTGTGTTTTCATTTTCATCTGTCTTAAGATTTTTTTTAATTTTGCTTTTGATTTTTTATTTAACCCATTGTTTATTCAGGAGCATGTTGTTTAATTTCCACGTTTGTAAATATTTTAAATTTTCTCCTATTATTCACTTCTACTTTCATAACTTTGTGGTCAGAAAAGATACTTGATATGATTTCGATCTTCTTAAAACTGTGGAGACTTATTTTGTTCCCTAATATTTGATCCTGGATAATGTCCCATTTGCACTTGAGAAGAATGAGTATTCTGTTGCTGTTGGATGGAATGTTCTATATATGTCTGTTAGGTCCATTTGATCTAATGTGCGTTTCAAGTCCAGTGTTTCCTTATTGATTTCTGTCTAGATGACATGTTCATTGTTGAAAGTGAAGTGTTGAAAAACCCTGCTATTACTGTATTGCAGTCTGTTTCTTTTTAGGTCTATTAATACTTTCTTTATACATTTAGATGATCTAGTATTAGGTGTATATATATTTACAATTGTTACGTCCTTTTGATGAATTGACCCTTTTATCATGTAATGACTTTCTCTGTCTCTTTTTACAGTTTTGGACTTAAAGTCTGTCTAATATAAGTAGAGCTACCCCTGCTGTCTTTTGGTTTCTACTTGCATGAAATATTTTTTTCAGTCAATGTGTGTTCTTTAAGTTAAAGTTAGCCTCTTACAGGCAGCCTATGTTTGAGTATTGTTTTTCAGTTTTTTCCCAAAGCAAATCATTTTAGTAGGTTGTCAAATATACAATTATTGGAAATATCTAAATATTACCTGTAAAAATCAGCATATCACATTAGATAATTCTATAAAGTAAGAAAACACAAATCACACATTGCCAATAACCGCTGCAGTCCAAGAATATCCTCCTGTCAATAGTACAAATTACAAACACATTTTTAAAACTAAAGATGTTATTTAGACATTTAAACCAAAGTAACCATGACTAGCCTAAATACATTCATTCATCAAGTACAATAAATTTAGCATTGCTACTTACAGTCACTAATAACACAATTTTAGGTGCAATTTTACCTAAAATTTCATAAATTTTCCAATACAGTTCCAATAGTAAAGTGTCTTTGTGCATGCCATTTCCATTTATATGTGGGTGCATCATATATCAGACTTAAGGCTATTTCACCTCATTATTAAATTGTTCATAAATATATAAAGAAAGTGAACACCAGGCCAAAATTTAATCCCAATGATAAAAAAATATATATATATATATAATATATATAAAATATATATATTATTAAAAAGTCAGGAAACAACTGTGAGCCAAAATAAACCTTTTTTCTTTGTAAATTACCCAGTCTTAGGTATTCCTTTATAGCAATGCAAATGGATGAATGCAGAAACAAAGGATCGGTCTGCATTTCTTAACTTCAGAAACTACAGTCTTTGTAGTTTCCTTTGTAGTACCTTTGTAAAGACGAAGATCTTTAAATAGTTTAGTGCTTAGTGTCCTTGTTAAAGTATAACGTTATATAATGAACACCGGCTGATAAATTATTGATGCATTAACTGGCAACATTTCAAAAAAAATTCAAACTCGAAATCTCAGTTTAGAATCTTCCAAGTGAATGAGAACCCCTAACTCTGTTCAGGTCAAATGTTGCCCCCTCACAGAAACTGACTGACCATGCTGTCTAAAGTAACAGCCTCAGCTAATTTTGATTCTCTTACCCTGCTTTCTTTTTCTTCATAGCATTTATCACTATCTGACATTGTATTATATATCTATTTACTTATTATTAGTTTTCTATCTCCTTACTAGTATGTAAGCTTCATTAGAACAGAGACTTTATTTCTTTTGATTATCAATATATCTCCTGTGCACATGACAGTGCCTGACACTTATCACCATGACATAAAGATTTATTGAGTAAATGATTAAATGGTTTGTTTCCATGTTCATGTTCCAACCAGACACATAGGCAGGTATTGTGGCTTATCTCTGAAGTCCTTGGCACTGGCTGGCTGGCATAGAACCTTGCAAACAATGAATAAATAAATTACCCTGATCGATCAGTGTGCCTGGATAGAGAAGACATGTAGCAATGCTGCACCCCTGGATGTGCTATTAATACAATTATACAGCATGGAATACTATGTAGCCATAAAAAAGAATGAGTTCACGTCCTTTGCAGGGATACGGATGAAGCTGGAAGCCATCATTCTCAGCAAACTAACACAGGAACAGAAAACCAAACACCTCATGTTCTCACTCATAAGTGAGAGTTGAACAATGAGCACACATGGACACAGGGAGGGGAACTTTACACACCGGGGCCTGTCAGGGGGTGGGGGGCAAGGGGAGGGAGAGCATTAGGACAAATACCTAATGCATGCAGGGCTTAAAGATGACAGGTTGATAGGTGCAGCAAACCATTATGGCACATGTATACCTATGTAACAAACCTGCACGTTCTACACATATATCCCAGAACTTAAAGTAAAATAAAAATAATAATAATTTATAAAATACACTTAAAATTTTTTTTTAACCAAGATTGTTCTCTTGAGGTTAACTTATTACTACTTTGAGTTGCCAGGAGTGATTGCACATTTCTTGGGAATCCCTAAGTCACCAAGAATAAAGACCACTTGTAATAACTAAGGCATATTCAACAATAAAATTCTAGAGATTCGGGATATTTGATATTTGCTTGTAACATTTCACTTTTTAGCTTTTATTCATTTAATAAATGTTTTCTTTATCATCTTGTATACTCATGAACAGTTTTAAGTGTCCATTCAAATCATTTCATTGGGAAAAAAAAAGTCAGGAAACAACAGATGTTGGCAATGCTGGGGAGAAATAGGAACACTTTTACACTGTTAGTGGAAATGTAAATTAGTTCAGCCATTGTGGAAGACAGTGTGGCGATTTCTCAAAGATCTAGAGCCAGAAATACTATTTAACCCAGCAATCACATTACTGGGTATATACTCAAGGGATTATAAATAATTCTACTATAAAGACACATGCACACATATGTTTATTGCAGCACCATTTACAACAGCTAAGACTTGGAACCAACCCAAATGCCCATCAGTGACAGACTGGATAAAGAAAATGTGGTACATATACACCATGTAGCCATAGAAAAGAATGAGTTCATGTCCTTTGCCGGGACATGGATGAAGCTGGAAACCATCATTCTCAGCAAACTAACACGGGAACAGAAATCCAAACACCACACGTTCTCACTCATAAGTGGGAGTTGAAAATAAGAACACGTGGACACAGGAAGGGGAACATCACACACTGGGGCCTGTTGAAGGGTGGCGGCACAGGGAGGAGAGCGTTAGGACAAATACCTAATGCATGAGGGGCTTAAAACCTAAATGACAGGTTGATAGGTGCAGCAAACCACCATGGCACATATATACCTATGTAACAATACTGCATGTTCTGCACATGTATCCCAGAACTTAAGGTAAAATTTTTTTAAAAAAGTAAAACCACAAAAAATAAAATAACTTTTCTATTATAATCCAAGCACAACAAATTGTATTTGAAAACTAATTACAAATATATATTACATATAGAAAGTATGTATATATGTCTATTAAACTTATATATAAATTATTAGCTACAACAGATGTCATATAGTTACAAAAATCACAGGCTAAGAAAATGTCCTAATTTAGAAAATGATCATATTCTACACAAAAAGAAAAATGAGGAAAAATAGATACATTAAAATACGAGCACATTAGTTTCCTTAAGATTATATCTAGGCTGATGCTCAATTCAATTACAACTTCTTTATTTTACTAAGATCTTAGGATAAGCACTTATTAAGTCACATATTAAGTCATAACTTGCATAAATCAGCTTTTTTTTTTTGGAGATGGAGTTTCGCTTTTGTTGCCCAGGCTGGAGGGCAATGACTTATCTTGTCTCCCCAGGTTCTAGCGATTCTCCTGTCCCGCCTCTGCCTCCCGAGTAGCTGAGATTACAAGCACCCACCACCATGCCCAGCTAATTTTTTGTATTTTTAGTAGACACTAGGTTTCACCATGTTGGCCAGGCTGGTCTTGAACTCCTGACCTCAGGTGATCCGTCCGCTTCGGCCTCCCAAAGTGCTGGGATTACAGGCGTGAGCCACCGCCCCAGCCCTCAGCTGCTTCTTTCAAAAACTATTCCCCCTATTGCAATTTCATGTAATTTCTGTGTGTTCTGACCCAGTGAATTAATGCTAACCTTAAATTTCAATGTGTATATTAATATGTTAAGTGACTTTGTATGACATAATTTTTAACCTACAGATCTCTGGTAGCTTTAGTTTACAAACACTTATTACTAAAATCAGTGAAAATAGAAATATCATTTTTCCCTATACGCCATCATAGGACTCCCTATTTGACCTTGCAACTATTTAAAAGGAATTTGGGGCTATAAGTTCATTAAACCTTGTGCTTTCCTAATTAAACAACTTTAAATTTATTTTTCATTGTTTATTTTTGTTACTCTAATCTTCACCCTAGTTTTAGAATTTGTGAACGACATATGTGGTAGTATTATGCAACCAGCCCAGTTAGGAATAGAGTTGACTTATTGACTCTCTGGACATAATGACCAATTAAACTTGAGGGACTCTAGAATCTCTAGGGCTAAAAAGAGGACACAGAATTGTGTGAGTGGTACTCCCTTAATAAATATTGGTTGGCTTTATTTAAAGGCATAACTTTCTTTCCATGACACTTCCAATGTTGTTGATGTCTATAAAGTCAACTTCTCGTTGTAGAAATCCACTAGGAACCTGGTGAGGAGAGCCCATGTCAGTCAAAAATGCCCCAATGACTGAAGACACACTAACTATACACATTTTCCTCTCCTCATAAGTATTTTTCTCACATGTTCTTGATGCAGTCCAGGTTTCATGCTAATTTCATTCTTGGTCAGTGGGCAAAAGGTAGTTGAGTTAGAATGTCGTAAAGATTGAAAATTCAAAAACTCAACTGCATTTATTAATCTGTCTTTGAACCAGACTTCCTTTGAAACACAGCACAAAGAAAGGCGTGAATATCTCTTGGACATTTAGAAAAAAGGTGAGTGGCGTCTAATACAGTGTATTATATTACCATGAGTGGGAAGGATCTCTCAAGAACATCTCACCTACATCCCTGCCTCTGAGTTGCATCATGTTAAATAATCAGAATGCCCAATTTGTTTCCTGGGAACTTTGAAATTAATATGAAGTATTTTCAGTGATTCCAAAAATCCTTCGTATCCTTTCACCCTTTTGAATGGTTTGCTCATTATATCTCCGTACATAAAAACGGTCAGTGGGATTTAAGATTTCTTTTGATTCATGTAGAAAATAGAAATAGGACAAAAAGTCAACGTGACAGTGGAATCAACATGTTCTTGTCAAGAGGTAAGTTCATTTTCTGATAACGTAAAAGAGAAATTGGCGCCATATAAAATATGAAGAAAATAAGAGAAATTATCAGTGCCATATAAAATGTGAAGAGAAGAGGACGTGAAAAAATAGGAGTAGAAAATAACAGCTACTGAATAGGGTCCTCTTTTATTCCATGCCCTTTAGATAACCAGATATCACCTACTACATTGATTTAACTTCCATTTACTGGAAAACTATGTACTCAGTATATTATGCTAGAAACAAAGACAAAGTGATAATATGAAATTCAATAATTTCATGTTATAATATTATGAAATTATAACAATCACTTGAACCACCAATAGTAAATTTTCTGTTTTCTCATATACAAGACAAGCTGAGATAATGATATAGTATTACTATTAATGACTTATTAGTGATTAGTATTAATGATACTGCTATTGATATCAAGCTCACATTCATTAAATGCTTAGTATGCTTGGGACAGGGTCCTAAGTTCAGATGTGTATACATTGTCTCACTTGAGCTTCACAATACTCTCTTTTTATCAAGTCAGAGATTGTTTTTTAATGTAGCACAAGAATGTTCATTCATTGCCCAGGATCACACAATCCAGTAATAAAACCCTGGCAGATTCTGGCTCCAGAGGCACTGTACCTAACAGCTAACCTTTAACAGTGATTTTTTTTAATGCTACTAAGTAGGAAGACAATGTGATACTTTCTTCTTGTTTTTATTTGTGTTTCTTCAATAATGAAAAAGTTATAATCTTTTATACTTTCACTGTCATTTTATGTTGTTTTCTTCCCCAAACTGCTTATTTATGTCCATTGCTCATTTTTTTCCATTGGACTTTTGATCTTTTTCTATTTATTATGTAATAATTATTTATATTTTAATATAATAACCATTTTTTCCATAAACATTGTATATTTTTCTATCTTGCCATTTATGTTTTATCTTTCTGTGTAGTCTTTTTCTGATATAAAAAATTGTATTAATGAGTAAAAATTGTATATATTTATAGTGTACAACATGATGTTTTGATATATGTGTACATTATAAAGTGGCTAAATCAAGTTATCTAATGTATGTATTACCTTACATATTTATCATTTTGTAAATTTACATGGACATTCAAAAAAGCCTAATCTCATATTCTCTTCTATTTTTCAACCAAAGGTGTATTACTGTTATTTGCCAAAAAATAATGTGTATCTATAGCTAAAAAAAATCATATATAATGGAAGAAGTTAAAAATCTCAAGGTCATCTCTGTTCATTTTCATTTATTCATTCCATTATCAAATTATACTTTATATATCAGTGTTTTTACTCTGGAAAAGTTATCTTATTCTGTGGTAAATTGTGTCAATACTTATTTTCTCTTCTCTCTTCAGTCTATCTTTCTATTTTTATGCTTGCAAATTCAAATGGTGTAAACCACCTCGATGACATTTCATTTAAACATGCAAAGTAGACTGAAGAAACTTAGGTGCACTTAGGTAATATAACTAAATAACTGATGACTTTTACAGACTGAAGAAAATCAACTTGAATATATGACTTTTGGTTTGTTTCTATTTTAATTTATGACCACTTTTGTGCTGTATGCAGTCATTCTTATTGTACTATCTGTGTATTTAGGGGGAAATACGGTATAAAAGAAAGAATGATCTTTAAATCCTAGGTGTTAGTCTTGACCTCACCAATAATGAGTGTGCAAATTATTTATTCTTACTGAATCACAGAAGCAATAAAATGCAAACCATGACTGTGAGGGGTTTGATGAGAATTACAAAGAATGTATTTCACACACTGAGCAGTTTCTGGCACATGTTAAGTAAAGCAACAATTATGTTATCAGTTTTGCTATTTTAATTAAGGTATTTGCAGATGGGGAGATGACATCTGTGGTCATTACTATATATCACAAGTAGCCATAATTTTATTACTAATACCCACGGTAGTTCTTTGTGGAAATGGACCTACATGCATGGCATTTAGGAGACAGACACAACTCAAAAAAACACGTAAAGATGTTACTAAAAGAAGCAAAATTTCTTTAGATCAATTGCAGATTTAGATTCAACTCTTATACCCTCTATATTACTCAGCATTTTCAGGCCAAATTTAAAATAATTGGAGTAAAAGTAATATTTCTTTCTAAACTGTTTATTAAGATAGGTTAGGAGGTAAGAAGAGGAGAGAACATAAAATGCATTGAGAACTCACAATTTTCCATGTGTTATGCATATGTTACATACTTTATGTCATTTAAATGTAATGATTTTCTTTAAAGTAATTTAAACACTACTGAAAACACAGGAACTACTTTTAAGCTTAAACATAACCATATTATACTTTACAAGGGCTTTATCCACTTGACTGTAAATTGTATTTGATGCTGAGCTATTCATTAAATTTAATTCAGCTCCAGTAAGAGTATTCAATAAACAAACATTGATTGCTTTCCTATCTTACATTTTTTTAGGAGTGCGAAATAAGTGAGTCATCATGAATTGGGAAAATGAGAGCTCCCCAAAAGAGTTTATACTACTTGGCTTCTCAGATAGGGCTTGGCTACAAATGCCCCTTTTTGTGGTCCTGTTAATATCATACACAATCACCATATTTGGCAATGTGTCCATCATGATGGTGTGCATTCTGGATCCCAAACTTCATACTCCCATGTATTTCTTTCTCACTAATCTCTCCATCTTAGATCTCTGCTATACCACAACTACAGTCCCTCATATGTTGGTAAATATTGGTTGCAACAAAAAGACCATCAGCTATGCTGGCTGTGTGGCCCACCTCATCATCTTCCTGGCCCTAGGTGCTACAGAGTGTCTCCTTCTGGCTGTTATGTCCTTTGACAGATATGTGGCTGTTTGCAGACCCCTCCACTATGTAGTCATCATGAATTATTGGTTCTGCCTAAGGATGGCAGCCTTCTCATGGCTCATTGGTTTCGGCAACTCAGTGCTGCAGTCTTCCTTGACTCTTAACATGCCACGCTGTGGTCACCAGGAAGTGGACCACTTTTTCTGTGAGGTGCCTGCACTTCTCAAGTTGTCATGTGCTGACACAAAGCCTATTGAGGCTGAGCTCTTCTTCTTTAGTGTACTAATTCTTCTAATTCCAGTGACATTGATCCTCATCTCCTATGGCTTCATAGCTCAAGCAGTATTAAAAATCAGGTCAGCAGAAGGACGGCAAAAAGCATTTGGGACATGTGGGTCCCACATGATTGTGGTGTCCCTCTTTTATGGAACAGCCATTTATATGTATCTTCAACCACCTTCATCCACCTCTAAGGACTGGGGAAAGATGGTTTCCCTCTTCTATGGAATCATCACATCCATGTTGAACTCCCTCATCTACAGCCTTAGAAATAAAGATATGAAGGAGGCCTTCAAGAGGCTGATGCCAAGAATCTTTTTCTGTAAGAAATAAGAAGTACTCCATTGTGATGAGAATCTTCTTAGTCTTTCCTTATCTTCAATGATGGTAATGACCTTTGAACTCATTTTCCTATTTTCCAGGCTCTGGTGATTTCACTAAATTCTGTCAACAATTAGAAAATCCTTCCTCTGTTGGCTGGGCGCGGTGGTTCACGCCTGTAATCCCAGTACTTTGTGGGGGCCAAGGTGGGCAGATCACATGAGGTCAGGAGTTCGAGACCAGCCTGGCCAACATGGCGAAACCCCATCTCTACTAAAAGTACAAAAAAATTAGCAGGGCATGGTGGTACACGCCTGTAATCCCAGATACTCAGGAGGCTGGGGCAAGAGAATCGCTTGAACCCAGGAGTCAGAAGTTGCAGTTAGCCCAGATCGCGCCACTCACTCCAGCGTGGGTGACAGAGTAGGAATCTGTCTCAGGAAAAAAAAAAAAAAAAAAAAAAAAAAAGGAAAGAAAGAAAAGTCTTCTTCTGTTTAGGAAGCAATGCTGAACCCATATGACATGTCTTCAAAGTTAGAAACTCCTTTCTTTTCAGAAGTTCCCCCAATGTACTCTGTTCCTTGAGACAAGTCATGTCAATTTCCTATCAACTTCAGGGTAGTCAGGAGACTTTGATGGATTGCCTTCCACTTGTATACTATTATTCTATAACCATCCTGTCTACGCCTTTAGTTAGGGATTTTAATATCCTTATAATTAAATTACCAGTTATTCCAAGCCAAAAATTATTCCATCAGAATCAAAGTCTTCAAACACTTTGAACCCTCTGATCTCTTGATAAAATTCATCATATGCACCTTTTCAGAACTGTTTTTGGTATGTAATTTGGCTTCAATCTAGCTGGCTTTGTTTTTGTTTTGTTTGAGAATGAATTTTACTCTTGTTGCCCAGGCTGGAATGCAATGGCACGATCTCAGCTCACTGCAACCTCCACCTCCTGGGTTCAAGTGATTCTCCTGCTTCAGCCTTCCAAGTAGCTGGGATTACGGATGCCCGCCACCATGCCCAGCTAATTTTTTGTATTTTTAGTAGAAACGGGGTTTCTTTGTGTTGGCCAGGCTGGTCTCGAACTCCTGACCTCAGGTGCTCCACCCATCTCAGCCTCCTAAATTGCTGGGATTACAGGCATGAGCCACTGCACCCAACCAATCTAGCTGGTTTTAAACCAGCTAAGTGTGTGCATCTCAATCTGGAAACCTTAAATGTCAGTTGAGTTTTATTTCAAATTCTATTTTCAATTCATCTCTTTATTCCTCCGGATAGCATTTATCCTTTCTTCCCTTTTGTTAAATTCCTTATTTGTCCCAAGTTCTACCTCAGGTATGTGGCATCTTTTCTAAATTATAGAGCTAATTATAGAAATGTTAATGGGAATCCTTTTTTCTCATATTGACCTGAATTAGCTTACTCTTTATCTGTGGTAGTCATTCAATAAACATTTATTGTTCACAAGACAGCAGTAGTCCAGAGGAGAAATATCACAGTTCCTCTGCTGAAGAAATGTGCTAGTTCCAGAAGGCAATGATTCTTAAACTGAGACATTTAAATGATGGTTTACAGTTAGTAATGTAAGGACACAGATGAGGCAACATTTCAGGCAACAGAGAAAGCTTTACAAAACAAAGCATTTCATCATTACAAGTAATTTAGCAGTTAAACAATACAAAACCAGGCAAGATGAGGTTGACGATGTAATATAATTATATATTATATATAGTTCTATATCACATATAATTATGATAATGATATATTATATATAATTATATTATATATTATTATATTATATATTATTATATTATATATAATTATATTATATAATTATAATTATCTTATATACAATTACAATTATATTATATATAACTATAATAATATTTAGATGACATTTCAAATAAGTGGAAAAAGAAGAGACTGAAGAAATGTCTGTTGAGTTTTATTTCAAATTCTATTTCAATTCATCTCTTTATTCCCCTGGATAGCATTTCTCCTTGTTTTTCCCTTTTGTCAAATTCCATATTTGTCCCAAGTTCTACCTCAGGCATGTGGAATGACCCCTTAATTATAGAGCTAATTATAGAAATGTTAATGGGAATCATTTTTCCTATATCGATCATATCTTCAGAAAACACAAAAAATGAAAGAACACAAAGGGATCCACCTTTTACCTGGATCTCTGTTGTTACCCAATCTACCTTTATGCACTTCTCCCAACTCACTACCAGCGGAGTTTGCGTTTTTTCGTGTGCATTATATCAGAAAATATTCCTATGTTTTCTGGTATTTAAAACATAATTGAAATAGCTGCAAATTGGGCCGGGCATGGTGGCTCACACCTGTAATCCCAGCACTTTGGGAGGCCGAGGCGGGTGGATCACGAGGTCAGGAGATCGAGATCATCCTGGATAACACGGTGAAACCCCGTCTCTACTAAAAATACAAAAAAATAGCCGGGCATGGTGGCAGGCGCCTGTAGTCCCAGCTACTCGGGAGGCTGAGGCAGGAGAATGGCGTGAACCCAGGAGGCGGAGTTTGCAGTGAGCCGAGATTGCGCCACTGCACTCCAGCCTGGGCGACAGAGCGAGACTCCATCTCAAAAAAAAAAAAAAAAAAAAAAAAGCTGCAAATTTAATTTCACCAAGGAAGTGTATTAAAATCTATTTAACCACTTTCCTATTGTTGAGCATATTTACACTCCTTGTTTTGATTATTGTTACTACTACTGCCAATAATTCAATATGAATTTGTGTCTAAATGTCAGTTTATATTCTGAAAAACTGAATTACTGGCTCTAATTATAAATTTCTTAGAAGATCTAAGAGTTAATAGATATGGTCAAATTGTGCTGTAGAAATTTTATAACATTCCACATTCCCAGATAGATCACTGTATATAGCAAATGAGAATGGTTGCTTCACGAGCTTTTGCAAACTCTGAGAGTTTCATCTTTTGATGAATATGCCAATTTTAGAAGCAGAAACATTATCAAGTTCCTATTTGTTATTTCCTTGAGTATTTTGAAAGTAGAGTATTTTTCATAAATTGAATACATTAGGAATGTTTATAAATATTTTATTTTTTCTCCCCTTCTAGGCAGATGGTAAAATTGCACATCCCTGTCCTATCGAATGCAGACCTGGCTGTTTAATATGATTTGCCAATAAAATGTGAAGAGAAATGATGTGGGTTATTTTTTGATGACTTCAAAATCTAGTACATACTCTGCCATGTTCTCTTTCCCTCTGGCAATCAAAACAATGTTCCAGGTAGGTTCTCAATCAGCCTGAAACAAATGTTAGGAAATTAAAATATGAGGCACTGGCAGAAGGATCACATGGCAGATGATGAGGGATATGATAGTAAAGCTTGAAACTGAGAGGGGCCAAGATGGTCAGTGACACAGCCAGGAAGAACATCTTCCACAACAGACCAGGATATCAGGAAGACTGGCATACTCCGAGCCGATCTTCGGAGGGAAGGCATTGAGGGTGGACAGAGGGAGGACATAGAACCTGGGCTGGAGGGTGAGAAACCTCGGAACTTTGCACGGAGTTGCAGAGTACCCGGACTCGTTTCTGGCCCATGTTCTTGGCCCGCAGTGACTCCTGGGGAAGAGGTCCGTTGAACACACGAGGAGTGGCCACTCTCGCCACAGACCTCCAGAATCCCAACTGCAGGAGACCCCATGACCCCGCGGACACTTGAGCTGGCAGGGAGAGCTATTTGGAAAGGTGGCAAGGACAGGACTTCAGCCTGTGAAAAGCCCAGAGGGTCTGACACAGGAACGGCTGCAGTGGAGCATGGCCAGAGACGCCCATTCCCCCAAAGCTCACCATGCTCCTCTAGGTGGTCTCAGCCTATGGTAACTGCCAGACCTGAACGGAGCAGGGCTATCTTACCTGTGGGATGGGACCAGTCTAATCTGAGTGCTCCCTTGTCTGCCGGCCTCTCCTGGGGTAGACTGGCTAAAGAAAATGTGCTACATATACACCATGGAATACTAAGCAGCCACAGAAAAAGAATTAGATGATGCCTTTTGCAGGAACATGGATGGAGCTGAAGACCATTTTCTTAAGCAAAGTAACGTAGGCACAGAAAACCAAATACCTCACACTCTCATTCATAAGTGAGAACTAAACACTGAGTACACATGAACACAAAGAAGGGAAAAGTAGACTCTGAGGCCTACTTGAGGGTGGTTTAGTTTTTTAAGGACTAAAAAACTACCTATCATATACTATGCTTATCACCTGGGTGGTGAAATAGTCTATACAACAAACCCTATGAAATACGATTTACCTACGTAACAAACCTGCACATGTACCCCTGAACCTAAAGTAAAAGTCTAATAAAAAATGAGAGAGATTGAAATTATGGTGCCAGGTTTGGTGGCTCACACCTGTAATCCCAGCACTTTGGGAGGCCAAGGTGGGCAGATTGCCTGAGCTCAGGAGTTCAAGACAAGCCTGAGCAAAGTAGTGAAAACTCATCTCTAAAAAAATACAAAAATTCATTGGGTGTAGGAGCAAACACTTGTAGTCCCAGCTACTAGGGGATGCTGAGGCAGAAGGATCACCTGAGCCTGGGAGGTTAAGGCAGCAGGGAGCCAAGATCACACCACTGCAGAGTACAGACAGAGAAGACCCTGTCTCAAAAAAAAGAAAGAAAGAGAAGAAAGAGAGAAAGAAAGAAAAAGAAAGAAAGAAGAAAGAAAGACAGGGAGGGTGAAAGAAAGAGGAGAAAAAAGAAAGAAAAGAAAGAGAAAGAAAGAAAGAGAGAAAGGAAAGAAAAGAAAGAGAAAGAGAGAGGGAGGGAGGGAAGGGAAAGAAGAAAAAAAAGGGAAGGAAGGAAGGAAAAAGGGAAGGAAGGAAGGAAGGAAGGAAGGAAAAAGAGAAGGGAGGGAGGAAGGGAGGGAGGGAGGAAGGGAGATAAAGTGATCCATGTTATACAATAAGGAAACATTTCATAAACTATCACCTGCAATAACTTAGAAGGCAGATAATGAACCTAACAACTGAGTGGAACCCGAGGGTTATGAAGAACAATGGATGGAGGAGCTACTTTTCAATGAGTGGGATATAGGGACATTTCCAAACTCACATTTGGAACGCCTCACAAGAACTGCCCAGTGGTTACAGTGATTGTTTAACTTCTGGGAAGACATTTTAAGGGCAGAGTGTGTTTTGCAACTTTTATTTCCCTCTATCACAACAATCTAGAGAACTTTGGATAGTGTCTACTTCATCAGTTTGGATCCCTAATGCACAATGACATGGACAAGTCCCTAGCAACATTCAATAAACACAAAACATAAGCAAAAATGAAATATTTGTTGGTTTAAGCCTTTATGATGGACTTGTTTACCAGCATATGTTAATTGGCCATTTTTTTTAAAAAAAATAATATTATGGAGAAATACTCACTGTTAAGTGGTGGAGAAAACTCAAGAAACGATTCTACACTTAGAACATGACCCTAATTTTATGTATACCTATATGTGTAAGAAAACACTAGAAATAAGTTCACCAAGCTAACTGTGGTGAGGTAAGTGACAGGATATCAGGAAATTTTTATTCCAGGCTTCTTATTTTTCTGTATTTTCTGATTTCATCATACAATTTCTTAAGTATTAGGAAAAAGTCTAAACATCATAAAACTGGTGCTCTAAGTCTATTTCACCTTGAAAAGTCTTGCATTAATGTTTATTTGCTTCCCATTAGACACTATCTTAAAGCCATAATAACCTAAAGTTGAATTTTATTTGAAATAAAAATTATTGATAGTGAAATTTTTATTAATGTATTTATAAATTTGGCAACTAATTTTAGAAATATCTACTCCAACCTTCAAGCTTACCATTAATAATTTCCCAAAGTCTTCTTAAAAATAATTTTATAAATATTTATACTTTGGGGGGCATTAGTAACTTAAATAACAAAAATAAGATGGGTTGAGCTCTAAAATTTGAATCACCATCAATGTTCTAAAATATTTTTATATTACTTGTATCTACATTATTATCACATACCACCTAAATCAGAGACACTTAAATTTTCTCTGCCTTCCTAAGTGCACATCCAGAGCAAAGATATTATATATAGATATATAGTATATACAGATATTAAAATAGTTATAAATTTGCCTAATGTTTTTCAATCGCTTACTATACATACAGATTTTGCTATTTGCCGAGTATTTGTTAGTGAATAAGACAGACACAATTCCTTCCCTCACAAACTTTATAGTCTAGTGGGAGAAAGAAAACAAATAATAATACTAAACATGTAATTACAAGTTGTACTAAGTACTATAAAGTAAAAATGACAAGGCTTCATGAATAAAATGGATGGGTGATTAGTTTAAACCAGGAAAGGTTCAAGGAAAGCTCTTCTAGGGAAGTGTCATTTAGGCTCAGATCTATAAGTGAGGTAGTAAATTCTTCAGAGTAGACAAAACAGTAGATGCTAAGGCCTTGATCTGGCAGGAAGTATCATAACCACAAGTGTTCTTTTTATTGTCATCTTTTTATTTAATGTAGTTTACTACATTTTACATTTATAATGTATTTTTAATGTAATTTTTAAAGTTGCAAGTATAATACAGAACTTTAAATACCCTTTTCCAGAGTCATCATTCATTTACATTTGCCTTACTTTTACACATATGTAATATATAAATGTAGTTTTCATATCTATGAAATTTTTCCCAACCTTTTTATTACTACATACACTTTAGTGTATAGTTGCTAAGGACATTAACTTCCATACATAGCCAGTACAATCATAAAAACTGGGACATTTTACAGTCATATAATACTATTATGTAATCAATAGTTCATATTCAGATCTTGTTAATTATCTCCAAAATGTTCTTTATATTTTCTCCCATTCAGGAGCCAATAATGATGCAACATTTCAGAAAAGTGTATAAGGATAGTTTGTCTTAAAATCGATGCTGTTAACTTTAGTCACTTGACTAACATGGTGTCCCCCAGATCTCATTATGCCTTTTTCCTGAGAAATTAATAAGTAATTTGTGGCAGACAGCATAACTATGTAAATGTCTTAAACTTTCACCCACTAATTTTAACATCTATTAATAATTCTCCAATCCTAGTATGCCCTCTATATTTATTAACTGATGTGCCATTAAGAGTTTTCCCTTTTCCCCCTTCATGTATTCATTTTTTATATTTTTATCAGTATATACTCATAAATTTCTATTTTATATCGCTATTTTACCTTTTTTTATTATTACAGTTTTTCTGGGGTACATGTGCAGGATGTGAAGGTTTGTTACATAGGTATACATGTGCCATGGTGGTTTGCTGCACCCACCAACCTGTCATCTACATTAGGTATTTCTCCTAATGCTATCCCTCCCCCAGTCCTCCATCCCTGACAGGCCCCAGTGTGGGATGTTCCTCTCCCTGTTCCATGTGTTCTCATTGTTTAACTCCCACTTATGAGTGAGAACATGCAGTGTTTGGTTTTCTGTTCTTGGGTTAGTTTGCTGAGAATGATAGTTTCATTAACTAGATTAACTGTGTAGTAAGAATTTATCATTCACTTTTCACTTCCACACCAGCAGGATGATGTAAGGAAACTAATACCATCAGAAAGGATCATGTTTTAAAATTAAAGCTATAATAGGGAAAAAAAATATATATATATATACTGTATCCCTACATAAAGCTGAGGGTTACCGAGAATAAGTCAAATGTATTCATTAATGTCAATAATGAATTGGGTGGGAGTGGATTCAGACAGAAAAGAAATAAAAACAAAGGGTATACGTATATCAAATCATCACACTGCACACCTTGAATATATACAATCTTTATTGTCAATTAAATATTGTTTTAAAAAATAAAGGACCAGAAGCTGAATATAGTTATAGAATGCAGCAAATGATGAAAACAAAAGTGGGAGCAAAGAACAAGCCTGAGATGATCAGTGTGAACTTGGCTAGAAGGATTCCAGATTGCTAGATCTGCTGCTAATTGTGAACCATGGGTGAAAAAAGCAATTACTTTAAAAACAAGCCCATGGCCAAAAGTTTTCAGGACCCATATTTTCAAAATTCCAGATTCCATGATTTTTAATCATGTTTTAATAACATTAATGTATGTTAATATCTTCTTGACACAATGTTTTTATGGTTTAAATAAAATGAGGAACTTTAATGTAGTCAATGGAAGGTAAAAAGTCTATACTGTGTTGGGTTATTGTGGAAGAAATTATTGAAGACTTCTTTTGTCTGTATGTGGAACTAGGATTATGATGGCTCTATGGTAGCAGAAATCTAAAGAAATAATATCTTGAGAAAAACTATAAATAAAAGAAAATTAGATCTTGGCACCTAAAATAATAATCTTAATTTCCTCCTTGTGATCCAAGGAAATTTTTATAAAATTGTTAAGGCAGATTCAGTTTCCTTGGCTTCTCTCAGACCTGAGTCCATTATAAATAACAGGTGCCAAAATTTATCATTTCATTTTATTATGGCAAGGAAGTTAGAGGGAAGCATACCCACTAAGGAATTGCTATAATGACCCTTACCAAGAAATTTCAACTCTATTATCTGTACAGAGAACAAAGTTTCACAGCTTTATAGAGTGAGTGGCAACCCTATAAAGTACTTTTTTTAAAGTACCTTTAGAACAAGATCGTGTCCTTTGCAGGGACATGGATGGAGCTGGAAGCCATTATGCAGGAACCATTATGCAGAAAACCAAACCCTGCATGTTTTCACTCATGGAATGATGAGCTGAGCAATGAGAAAACATGGATACAGGGAGGAGAACAACACACAGTGGGGCCTGTCTGGGGGTGGAGAGGGGAGGGAGAACATCAGGAAAAATAGCTAATGCATGCTGGGCTTAATACATACGTGATGGGTTGATAGATGCAGCAAACCACCATGGCACACGTTTACTTATGTAACAAACCTGCACATCCCACACATGTATCCCAGAACTTAAATAAAATAAAATAAATTTTTTAAAGTACCTTCCTTACCTCTAAAGAGTAAGTAGGTTTTCATATTTGAAAATATTTGGGGTGTGCTCTGAGGGAGGGCCTGGGCCACCCACCTTTGCTGGAGGAGCCCTTCAGGCCATAATAAGCATGAATAATGTCTTTCCTCTTTGAGTGGATCTACAATGGCTTCAGCAGTGTGCTCCAGTTCCTAGGACTCTACAAGAAATTTGGAAAACTTGTATTTTTCGGTTTGGACAACGCAGGCAAAACCACTCTTCTTCACATGCTCAAAGATGACAGATTGGGTCAACATGTTCCAACACTACATCCGACATCAGAAAAGCTATTAATTGCTGGAATGACTTTTACAACTCTTGATCTTGGTGGACACAAGCAAGCATGTCAGGTTTGAAAAAATTATCTCCAAGCAATTAATGAGATTGTTTTTCTGGTGGATTCTGCAGATCATTCTGGCCTCATGGAATCTAAAGTTGAGCTTAATGCTTTAATGACTGATGAAATAATATCCAATGTGCCAATCCTTATATTGGGTAACAAAATAGACAGAACAATGCAATAAGTGAAGAAAAACTCTTTGAGATATTTGGGCTTTCTGGACAGACCACAGGAAAGAGGAACATGGCCCTTTAGGAGCTGAACGCTCACCCCACTGAAGTGTTCATGTGCAGTGTGCTCAAGAGGCAAGGCTAGGGCGAGGGATTCTGCTGGCTCTCCCAATGTATTGACTGATGTTTGGACAGAGAAAATAAGAGTTTTTCTCCTCTGGACTGATCCTGTTCACAGCTTCTTCATGGACTTTTCTAATAGAACAATGAAAGGTCTCCAATCATGTCTAGCATTGAGAAGCCAAGAGTCACTGTCTACTCTCATCACCCAGTGGTGAAATGTTCTCTTCTCCACACTGTTGGGGAGGTAATGCTGCCCCATGTGCTGGTGCAGGTCAGTATCCTGGGGCTTGGAAGCTGGCAGGGGTTGCTGAGTAAAGCTGTGTGCCATTATGGGGCACCTGAAAAGAAAAACACATCTCACCACTCTGGTTGATTTCAAAAGAAAGTGATTCTATTTTTAAAGAAAGTGTTGTTAATATAATTGATACCCCTTCTAACTTTTCGAGTTCAAAATTTACTTAGTCCAGAGTTTTCTATTCTTTTTTAAACTAATGAATGACATTTAGATACTTCATAAAATTATGAACAGATACACATTGGAGGCCAGAGCTCATTTGGGTAAACTCACTCCTGCTGAGTTAGCAGGTTGGTGAGAGAAGCTCCCCTGAGCTCACCTGTCTCTCTAACTGCCTTGGAGAAGGTGGCATTACCTTGTGAACAGAGAACCAGAAAAGGGGCAGAATCCTGGCCTTGTAATTGCGGCAGGTTTCCACTGTGGTAAGCTAGGGTCATTCCTTCTCAAGGAATGTGTAGCAGATCATTCACTATTGAGCAGTTAATTATAGTGTAAGTTACTGTTATTATTCTTATTTATAAAGTTATAGGTTTCATCCAGTCTTTACTTTTATACTTTGGTGAAATTTTATTTCCCTCTATAGCACCTTCCTTTTTCATTTTCAGTTATAAAAAGTAACTTTCACCTCATGAAAAAGTTGAGAACATCTCTTATGTTGTCACATACTGCAGGTGTGTCAGTTACTTTTGCACAGATTCTAGAGGAAAATTTTTCTGAATAGGAAGACAGGACAAAGTTAACAGCTTAAGGGCTCTTAATTCTGGGAGTTGAGGACTTAAATGTATTGTAGCACTTGTCTGAATGCAGGAAAAATTTACTCACTGGGCTTTAAAATTTCCATTTGCAGAATTTGGTCTCTATTGGATTTTTCCTGAGCTCTTTGTCTTACATCTTATCTCCTTAGATATCTACGTTGCTGTGTTTAAAGTAAAGGTTAACATCTGTAGCTTTTCCAGGTGTGTTTGTGTGGATTTTTTTAATATGAAATTGCCTTTCCCCATTGTAGAAATAAGCTGGGGGGAAACACTAACTCAAAAACTTTCTGTAGAGCTGTTCCTTTGGAAGCAGCATCACTTATTGGCAGTAAAGACTCAGGATAAAAGCAACAGCATCCCTACCACGGTGATGAGGATTGATTTTATAGCATTCCATTTTCTTAGTGTCACATGTGAAATTGGTTTTTTATGATCTTAACCTAAATTCTACCCTTGTAGTAAAAGATCAAAAGATAAGATCTCCTAGGAAAAGACAGGAGATAGGAGATGAAAAGTTAGGAGGATATCTTTATTCTAATGTGAGGGTAGGGAAAATGTGGATAACATATTATTGGGGAGAGAGTATAGTTATTTAGTTGGAGTTCTCAGTCTTCAGTACTGACTTGTTCGGGAAACATACTTTTTCACTGCCAGGTACTGAATGCAGAGGCTCAGTGAAGTATATTTCCGGGAAGTGCATGCATTTCATTTATTAGCAAGCATAGCTGGATTAAGATAAAATTGTTTGGAAAGGGGTTAAAGCCTTAACTGAACAAATCTAGCTAACAGTGAATGAACTAGATAGTTAACTTGCATTTTTTTTAAATTTTCCTTTGGTTAAAGGTTCCCCATACTTCTCTTATCAGAGACATGAGAAGTATGATTGCTTCCATGTTGGTTTTCTTACTTTTAGTTTCGGATTTTTTTTCCCTATTTGTCCCTAGTAACTTTGTTGCAAGCTAGAAAACTGTCGGTTCTACGTAGGGCAGCTGCTGTGAGGAGCTCAGCTCTAAACACAGGATCAGCGCCTTGTACAGGAATTCTCATGAATTAAGATGTTTCATTCTGTTTTATCAGAGTGCATGTATGTCCTATTTCAGAAAAAGTAAAACAGTCATTTACAAAAGAAAGTCAATCTGTATCCTAAGCATTTTAATTAAAAGTTAAAGCATAAATAAATAAATAAACAATAAATCAAAAGATTTGGGATCCTTTCAATCAAATAAATAACTATTAAAGACCTCTGATATGACATAAAACCACTGAATACAGAAAGAACATTCAATCTTTATCCCCAATTAACACTGAATTCTGATGGAAGAAAAAGATTAATGTTCTTTTTTGCAAGAAAAGAGGGTACCCCTAAAAAATATCAACACTGATTTAGGCAACTGTTGCATATGAGTAGAAATGATCTATTTAGCTTGATTGATTTAATCTTTTTATACAACCACATGCATGTTGTGATCTCCTTATGAAAATTTGCATACTAAAAAAACTATTTTAAAAAAGGCTACTGTGGGCACACTGCCTATAGGATAGCCCTGCTAGGCAAGGAGCAGTTAAAAAAAGTATAAATAAATTGACACCTATTAATACTAATACTAATCATTATAATTTAAAACATTGAAACATGTTTTTGAAAAATAATCTATGGTACTGTTTGCATTTGTGAGCATTTCCACTGATTAAAAACATATGTGTACTGATATTAAAATCTAGAAATCATTAACATCAGATTCAAGGCAAGGGATCTGAGTAATGTAGGGAAATAAAATGGTAGAA
Organism: Homo sapiens; assembly: GCF_000001405.40. Classification (NCBI taxonomy): domain Eukaryota; kingdom Metazoa; phylum Chordata; class Mammalia; order Primates; family Hominidae; genus Homo; species Homo sapiens. Next base: position 339,378 of record NT_167248.2, on the reverse strand, counting down.
AAAACAACCCTTCTAAGACTTCTTATGGGAATATAAGGACATGGTTAATATTTGGATACAAAGAAAAATTAACTATCAGATATAGACTTAAAATCAAACAGGGAACTTTATTTCATGAAAAATAACCAACCCAACATTGAGTATTGGACTTAATAAAGCGTGTTCACACATATGGTGCTAATTAATCTCCACAACGGAGCAAGATAGATAAAGAAGTTTCTGAATATTTAAGCAAGACCTAAAATGTACATGTATTAGTAATTGGGAAGTGGACTAAATCTAGATTTTCTAATATCATTCTTGTTTCTTTTCTACTATGCCAGTATTGTCCAAATTTTTTACCATTACCTATAGTAAGGAATATATTGTACATCAGAATCCAGGTCATACAAACACATATATAAAATGAGTGATGAGAATAAGTAAAATAAATCAATAAAATAGTATATAACTGCGTAATAGATTACAACTCACAGTGTGAAAAGCACTAACATACATCATACTGTATAACTGCTGATACTTTAATGACCTTATATCACTTGGCTGTGCAATGAATTATCTTGTCTTGTAAGTACTGAACGTGTTGCAAGGAACCATTTCCTTTCAGCTGTGTGCTTCCTTTTATGACAAAAGTTTTATGTTGGCGATCGTCATTCCAGGATTTGGGAAGAAGAGGTAAGGAATAGCACTATGTTGTTTCTATGCAAATCAGACTGATCCACGTGGAGCTCAGTGAGTTCTGAACTCACCTACATCAACTCACAAATTGAACCAGAACATGACCAGGGCCAACAGATTTTGGATGAAAGAAATTAACACGTGTTAGTTAGCATGGGTAGTTCTTGGGCATTCTTTAAAATTATTCATTTCTCCATCTGATTCATTTTTCTAATATAAGATTAATTATGTTTCCCATTACTTAATCATTATTCTGTAAAAGTTTGCTATATTGCATTTCTTGGGTAAGATACAGAGATTTGTTGATCTTCCTTTTAGAGGCACTAGAAAGGTAACATTTTGGCCTTTAGATAAAATTTTTCATGCTTACAAGTGTCAAATCACATCAGTTTAGTTACATCACAGAGAAAACCCCTTCATAACTCAGTTTATTTTACTTAACTGAATAAGTGGAGTATCAGAAAAATTCAATACTAAAGTAGCCTTTCCTTTCCCTCAAATCCACCAACAAGAGCAATGACAGGAATCTGGGCAATGCAATTGCTCGAAAGATCTTCATTCTCTGGGGTTTCTTTGACCACCCCTAGCCGGAAATGTTTCTCTTCATAATGGGGCTTGTTGCTTATCTCTGCATACTGGTGGACAACATCTCAATTATTGTGGTACCCAGGGGATATTTTAGGGGAGCACCAAATGCATCATTTTAGCTGTGACGTCTTTGGATCCTTACATTGCCATCTGCAAACACTTGAGGTACCCAGCTATCATGCATCAGCAACTCTGTGTCCTCCTAGTGGCCATGGCATGGCTAAGCAGTTTGGCCAACTCTACTTCAGTCATCCCTTGCCGTCCAGCTGCCACTAGGCGGTAACAAGGTGGACGACTTTCTGTGTGAGGTCTCAGCGATGATCAAGATATCACGTTTTGACACCACATTCAATGTATCTATGCTCTCCATTGTGAGGATATTTTAGTCCCTCGTTCTCTAATCAATTATCTTTGCTTACTGTGGATTCATTGTAGCTACTGTGCTGAGGATTCAGTCCTCAGGGGGAAAGAAGGAGGTCTTCAACACATGTGGTTCTCATATTGTATCTCTCCTCTATGGGCCTGTAATTAGCATGTATGTACAGCCCTCTGCCAACTCCCAGGACAAAAACAAATTCATGTCCCTGTTCTACAGTTTGGTGACTCCTATGCTTAACCCTTTTATCTACACTTTGAGCAACAGGGACATAAAAGGGGCAATGAGGAGGCTTCTTGTCTTTTTGTATCACCAGGAAGAGAACAAAAGTAATTATTTTTATACTCCACATTCTTCATATACAGGTCAGAAGATCTCCTGTTCTAAAATTACATGTTGATTTAACCTCCTCCAAAATTGTTAGCATTCTTTACTACCCACCCTGTCTACATATATGCTTTTGTACCACACAATGGGGTTTGTTGGATATCATTTCAAGTGTGAATCCTAATCCTCAGATTGTCTGCAATTTGCATGGTAGTGAGAACTATGTCCTTATATTCCTTTGTATTTATCTAGAAATATCCATAGGCATCTAAAAAGTGGGCAATAAATAAATGTTAATAGACTGACTCATTTACTCAGAGCAAAAATCAAGTCCTATCATTTTATGTGTTACTTTGAAAAATATATATGAGTAATATAGACTGCAGTTTACCTTCTTGTTATTATGAATGTGATTTAAAGGCTAATCTTTTATTTGCAAATTAACTTTTTATGGATTGCCAGCAAGATCAAATAGGTTAATATCTCATATTCCATAACTGACCCTCTCAACCACAAATTCACTGATCCTTTACAAATAAAATAATTCAAAAATAATATCTGACTCTTTCCTATCGATCTTAATGGGATTTCTTCCTTCTGAGGTATTTGACTGAAGTAATTATTTCTAGGTTATCAGATGGAGAAGTTAAAATCTTCAGAAATTTCTATGTTGTCTCTTAATATTGAGAGCCACTCACCCTTCAATGGGAAGACAACCTACCTAGAATGAGAAAATTAGATGTATTTGGTAGGTAACCGAAGGATTAAATCGTCTCATCATTTAAAATCAGAATATTCAGCAGAAGGAAAATGGAAAAAGAAGGTAGAGCACAACCTGGGGCAAATATAAAATAAACTAGCTATCAGACCGTCAATTTTGAGATAGAGGTGACAAAGTAGAAAGTTGGATAATGATGTAAGAAGGCAGTGTTCTGTTGACTTTATCCATAACATCAACTCTCCTCATTATAAATCCATAATTTTTCTTATACTTCCTCTGCTCCCCTGTCTTTCAACTTGTGTTTAAGAAAAACATTTGTTTTTCTAACAACTACATACATTCATTTGAGGCCTTCACACATCTGCCCATCCTTCATGTATTTCCACTGTGCTCTTCTGAATGACAAGAACAAAATCTATTAACACACAATGTGCAAACCGCTGATAAAGAAATATTATATATTATAGTTTTGCCATTGTTGGAGACAAGGAAACATCACTCTTTTGGAGGAAAGTTGACTCCCTGGCATACCAACATGTCTGTAAGGACTAGGCCTGATTTCACTGTGTACCTCTCCTTCATAGTACTGACCTGTATTGAGAGAATGGGCTCTAAATAAGTATTTTTTAAATAAATGAATGAATGATAAGTATTACCCACTGTCCTAATTACCTACTATTAAAACCTATATAACAGAATCATGCAAAAATGTGTCATATACTAAACAATGAGTGTAGCAAAAGAGGTTTGTAGCTGAATGTTTTTTTAAATTTTTTATCTCCATAGGTTTTTAGGTAACAGGTGGTATTTGGTTACATAAGTTCTTTAGTGGTGATTTGTGAGATTTTGGTGCACCCACCACCTGAGCAGTATACACTGAACTCAATTTGTAGTCTTTTATCCCTCCCTCCCCTCCTACCCTTTCCCCCACCCAGTCCCCAAAGTCCATTGTATCATTCTTATGCCTTTGCATCCTCATTGCTTCGCTCCCTCTTATGAGCAAGAACATACAATATTTGGTTTTCCATTCCTGAGTTACTTCATTTAGAATAATAGTCTCCAATCCCATCTAGGTTGTTGTGAATGCCATTAATTCATTCCTTTTTATGGCTGAGTAGTATTCCATTGTGTGTATATATATATATATATATATATACCACAGTTTCTTTATCTATTCGTTGATTGATGGGCATTTGGACTGGTTCCACATTTTTGCAATTGCAAATTGTGCTGCTATAAACATGCATGTGCAAGTATATTTTTCGTATAATGACTTCTTTTCCTCTGAGTAGATACCCAGTAAGGGGATTGCTGGATCAAATGGTAGTTCCACTTTTAGTTCTTTAAGGAATCTCAACACTGTTTTCCATAGTGGTTGTACTAGTTTACATTCCCATCGGCAGTGTAGAAGTGTTCCCTTTCACCACATCCATGCCAATATATATTTTTTAAAAATTTTTTATAATGGTCATTCTTGCAGGAGTAAGGTTGGTATCTCATGGCAGTTTTGATTTGCATTTCTCTGATCATTAGTGATGTTGAGCATTTATTCATATGTTTGCTGGCCATTTGTATATCTTCTTTTGAGAATTGTCTATTCATGTCCTTAGCCCACTTATTGATGGGATTGTTTGATTTTTTCTTGCTAATTTGTCTGAGTTCCTTGTAAATACTGGATTATTAGTCCTTTGTCAGATGTACAGATTGTATAGATTGTGAAAAATTTTCTCCCACTTTGTGAGTAATCTACTCTGCTGACTGTTCTTTTGCTGTGCCAAAGCTCTTTAGTTTCATTAAACCCCACCTATTTATCTTGGATTTTGTTGCATTTGCTTTTGGGTTCTTGGTCAGAAATCTTTGCCTGAGCCAATGTCTAGAAGGTTTTTTTCAATGTTATCTTCTAGAATTTTTATAGTTTCAGGTCTTAGGTCTTAGATTTAAGTCTTTGATCCATCTTTTTTTTTTTTTTTTTAGACAGAGTCTTGCTCTGTCCCCCAGGCTAGAGTGCAGTGGCTCAATACCAGCTCACTGCAAGCTCTGCTGCCTGGGTTCACGCCATTCTCCTGCCTCAGCCTCCCGAGTAGCTGGGACTACAGGCGCCCGCTGCCATGCCCAGCTAATTTTTTGTATTTTTAGTAGAGACGGGGTTTCACCATGTTAGCCAGAATGGTCTTGATCTCCTGACCTCGTGATCCACCTGCCTCGGCTTCCCAAAGTGCTGGGATTACAGGCGTGAGCCACCGCACTCAGCTTTGATCCATCTTGAGTTGATTTTTGTATAAGGTGAGAGATGAGGATCCTGGTTCATTATCCTACATATGGCTTGCCAATTATCCCAGCAACATCTGTTGAATAGCATGTCCTCTCCCCACTTTATGTTTCTGTTTGCTTTGTCAAAGATCAGTTGGTTATAAGTATTTGGTTTTATTTCTTGGTTCTCTATTCTGTTCCATGGGTCTATGTGCCTACTTTTATACCCATACCATGCTGTTTTGGTGACTATGGCCTTATAGTATAGTTTCAAATCAGGTAATGTGATGCCTCCAGATTTGTTCTTTTTGCTTAGTCTTGCTTTGGCTATGTGGGCTCTTTTTTGGTTCCACATGAATTTTAGGATTGTTTTTTCTAGTTCTATGAAGAATGATGGGGTTGGGTCATATGTTGAGTTTATTTTAAGCTTTATAAGAAACTGCCAAGTGGTTCCTCAAAGTGATTTTAACATTTTGCATTCTCATCAGTAATAAATAAGAGTTCCCCTTGTTCTGCATTTTTTTTCTAGCATTCACTATTGTCAGGGTTTTTTTTTTTTAGCCAATAGAACATTATGTGGGAATTTTTCTGTCTTGTTGCCTAATATTTAATATTTATAGTTTCATAATATTTAAATTTTATTTACTTATTTTCATAATATTTAATATTTAATTATTTCATAATATTTAAATTTTGCTTCCTGGCCTGCAAAACCTGAACTATTTTCCATCTGGCTCTTGTGGGGAAAATTAGCTGATCTCTGGTCTTTCATATGGATTTTCCTAACTCATTGAACCTCATTGAGGTTCAACTGAACTATAAGTCAATAACTATAAGCTTTTTAAATATGGGAAATAGTGAGTCTTTGATAGGAACAAGTAATTTTTTCCAATTTTTCTTTAAGAATTTTGGCCTATGTACACAAGACAGGGATGCCCTCTCTCACCACTCCTATTCAACATAGTGTTGGAAGTTCTGGCCAGGGCAATCAGGCAGGAGAAAGAAATAAAGGGTATTCAATTAGAAAAAGAGGAAGTCAAAGTGCCCCTGCTTGCAGATGACATGATTGTATATCTAGAAAACCCCATCGTCTCAGCCCAAAATCTCCTTAAGCTGATAAGCAACTTCAGCAAAGTCTCAGGATACAAAATCAATGTGCAAAAATCACAAGTATTCTTATACACCAATAACAGACAAACAGAGAGCCAAATCATGAGTGAACTCCCATTCACAATTGCTTCAAAGAGAATAAAATACCTAGGAATCCAACTTACAAGGGATGTGAAGGACCTCTTCAAGGAGAACTACAGACCACTGCTCAATGAAATAAAAGAGGATACAAATGGAAGAACATTCCATGCTCATGTGTAGGGAGAATCAATATTGTGAAAATGGCCATACTGCCAAAGGTAATTTATAGATTCAGCGCCATCCCCATCAAGCTACCAATGACTTTCTTCACAGAATTGGAAAAAAGTACTTTAAAGTTCATATGGAACCAAAAAAGAGCCCACATTGCCAAGTCAATCCTAAGCCAAAAGAACAAAGCTGGAGGCATCACACTACCTGACTTCAAACTATACTACAAGGCTACAGTAACCAAAACAGCATGGTACTGGTACCAAAACAGAGATATAGACCAATGGAACAGAACAGAGCCCTCAGAAATAACGCCACATATCTACAGCTATCTAATCTTTGACAAATCTGACAAAAATAAGCAATGGGGAAAGGATTCCCTATTTAATAAATGGTGCTGGGAAAACTGGCTAGCCATATGGAGAAAGCTGAAACTGGATCCCTTCCTTACACCTTATACAAAAATTAATTCAAGATGGATTAAAGACTTCAATGTTAGACCTAAAACCAGAAAAACCCTAGAACAAAACCTAGGCAATACCATTCAGGACATAGGCATGGGCAAGGACTTCATGTCTAAAACACCAAAAGCAATGGCAACAAAAGCCAAAATTGACAAATGGGATCTAATTAAACTAAAGAGCTTCTGCACAGCAAAAGAAACTACCATCAGAGTCAATAGGCAACCTACAGAATGGGAGAAAATTTTTGCAACCTACTCATCTGACAAAGGGCTAATATCCAGAATCTAAAATGAACTCAAACAAATTTACAAGAAAAAAACAAACAACCCCATCAAAAAGTGGGTGAAGGACATGAACAGACACTTCTCAAAACAAGACATTTATGCAGCCAAAAGACACATGAAAAAATGCTCATCATCACTGGCCATCAGAGAAACGCAAATCAAAACCACAGTGAGATACCATTTCACACCAGTTAGAATGACGATCATTAAAAAGTCAGGAAACAGGCCGGGCGCGGTGGCTCACGCCTGTAATCCCAGCACTTTGGGAGGCCGAGGCGGGCGGATCACGAGGTCAGGAGATCGAGACCCCGTCTCTACTAAAAATACAAAAAATTAGCCGGGCGTGGTAGCGGGCGCCTGTAGTCCCAGCTACTCGGGAGGCTGAGGCAGGAGAATGGCATGAACCCGGGAGGCGGAGCTTGCAGTGAGCCGAGATCGCGCCACTGCACTCCAGCCTGGGCGACAGAGCGAGACTCCGTCTCAAAAAAAAAAAAAAAAAAAAAAAAAAAAAAAGTCAGGAAACAACAGGTGCTGGAGAGGATGTGGAGAAATAGGAACACTTTTACACTGTTGGTGGGACTGTAAACTAGTTCAACCATTGTGGAAGTTGGTGTGGCGATTCCTCAGGCATCTAGAACTAGAAATACCATTTGACCCAGCTATCCCATTACTGAGTATATACCCAAAGGATTATAAATCATGCTGCTGTAAAGACACATGCACATGCATGTTTATTGCAGTACTATTCACAATAGCAAAGACTTGGAACCAACCCAAATGTCCAACAATGATAGACTGGATTAAGAAAATATGGCACATATACACCATGGAATACTATGCAGCCATAAAAAATGATGAGTTCATTTCCTTTGTAGGGACATGGATGAAGCTGGAAACCATCATTCTCAGCAAACTATCACAAGGACAAAAAACCAAACACCGCATGTTCTCACTCATAGGTGGGAATTGAACAATGAGAACACATGGTCACAGGAAGGGGAACATCACGTGCCAGGGCCTGTTGTGGGGTGGGGGGAGGGGGGAGGGATAGCGTTAGGAGTTATATCTAATGTTAAATGACGAGTTACTGGGTGCAGCACACCAACATGGCACATGTATACATATGTAACAGACCTGCACGTTGTGCACATGTACTCTAAAACTTAAAGTATAATAAATAAAAAAAGAAGTTTGGCCTATGTATAACTATGATATATCAATTTTTAAATGCAAGACAAAGACAGACATTTTCTGTAGGTATCTGTTACTTAATGAGCATGGCTGATCTTTTTAGTTGCCTTTAAAATGTTCTGTATTTAATTAATTCATTCTAATATAAATATTCTGTGAATCTTTATTGTATTTTCTCAATACAATTTAGAACTTTAACTTTCTGAGGAAGGTTTTGAACCTCACTTTTCAATTGAATTTCCTGACGGTCAAATTGCTTAACCCATTCTGAATACTTTTACTGTAATTTTTACAGGCTTTAATGACAAGAGGCTTGAGGAAAGGGAGCCTGTTTTGCCCTTTACACCGGACACACAGAAGGCACCATCCATAAGAAATGAATGCTTACCAGGTAATGAAATTTGCTGGTACCTTGATCTTGAACTTCCCAGCCTCCAGAACTGTAAGCAATAAATTTATGTTGTTTACATAAAAAAGAAAATAAAAATACATGAAGAAGAATTACCCAGTGTTTCTCTCACATCCTTTACAGACTTCTAAACAATACAAACTCTTTAAATTGTAAACGAACTTGGAAAATTTTTACATCATCTTAAACAATTACGTATATCAGTTAAAAACAAATAAAGCCTTTAATAATGTGTTCAAATAATTTAATTTATATTTTGTTTCTTCCTCCATCAAAAGTCTTTACAGAAGCATAAATCAATTTCCTCAAAGCCCCTTTTGACTGATGATTGACTGGTACTTACTTTCTGATTGCTTCATTCTCCCCAATTCTAAGTCCCTGAGTCCCTGACATCAATTTAACTTCTCCAAGTGCAGTAGAAAATATTCATCAAGTGTTTCAATATTTGCTCTGACCTTACTTATAATTTAGCACTTGTTACAATAATTTACATATCTTTTCAGTTCACTGTTTGCTCAGTTGGTCATCCCATTCTTGAGCTTTTTTGCGTGTAGTTTATGCTTTCCTGGACATTGCAATGCTCATTTTAGCCATATTTTGTTGCTATCTTAACTTGCTGGCTTTTTTTACTCTTCTGACATATATTTATGGTTATTTCGCATCCACTTTTTGGGATTAAAAGGACCTGAACACATCTTCTACTGGCTGAACTCCAGTTCCAAAGCTAGCCATCACCTTAACTCAATGTGAACATTAAGACTTTCTTCCTTTTGATTCTTTTCTGAAAGTATCTATTTTAAACTCAAATTTGATATAGACTTGGACCACGTGGTATCTTCTTCTCAAGGCTGCACTCCATTAAAGGTAATTTAAGTGTTCACATTATTTTTTAATCAGCCTAATTTATCAACAACTTTACATTTTTCTCCAACTAAAGCATAAATTCTATGGCAAACTCTTTCTTCCTATTTATATAAACCTGGCTTTCAACTATTAAGAAACACAAATATAGCTGCACTTACCACTATGTTCCAATGTTAAGCCACAGAGATCTGGCATGATTCTCATGTCTTCTGGCAACACTGACATGGCCTCACTTAGCTTCTCCAGGATTTGTATAAAATAAAACTTCATATCAGCAAGTGCACCCTCCATAGTACCAAATCTACCTCAGGCTTCCAGGGCACCCAATTCCATTCTGCCTGGAACCTAAATCAGCCACCTGGGAACAAAGAAAGACCATAAGTCTGGCAGCAATGGGGGAAGAGAGAGTTTTCCAAATATTTTCACATCATAGCACACATAACATGGAATGTATAAGGCTGTTCTTGATTAAAGAAGACTGGCCACTGCTAGTGTGCTCCTCCTAGGCCTCACACAACAACCCCAAAGTCTAAGAGGATTAATGTCTTTTCACATATGTAAAATTCAGAGAACACTGTTTAAGAGGCTTGACAGCTAAGAACTTACATACCATCATCAATACTCAATGTTGCCTTAATGTAAACATATATTTCTGACATCCAGTAAACCTAATCTTTAAAAAACTAAAAACAAAGATTCTTCCTTTCAGGAAAACACTTCTGCCTTGCTTTCTTTAGATTATGAGAGTAGGCATTGGAGAATTGAATTCTCACTGTCATTCACTTATTAATCTGAATTGCAAGCATAAAAACTCATGAAAGGACCAGGCATGGTGGCTTATACCTCTAATCCCAGCACTTTGGGAAGCCAAGGCAGGAGAATTGCTTCAGCCCAGAAGTTCAAGACCAACTTGGGCTATGTAGTGAGACACCTATCCTACAGAAATTTAAAAATTAGCCAAGTGTGGTGGTGCATGCTCATAGTTCCATAGTTCCAGCTATTCAGGGGGCTGAGGCAGGATTCCCGGAGACCAGAAGGTCAAGTCTGCAGTGAGCCATGATCACACCACTGCACTCTAGTCTGGGTGACAGAGCAAGACCCTGCCAAAAAAAAAAAAAAAAACACCTCAGGAAGAATTCTGGTACTTTGAGATTGGAAAAGAATTTGAAAAACATTCAACATTTCTTCATAAGAAATGTCTCAACAAATTGGTTATAAGGAATGTATGACAACACAATAAAGACCATGTATGACAACCCCACAGCTGAGACCATCAATTTGAAAGTTTTCCCTCTCAGATCAGAAACAAAGCAAAGATGCCCACTCTCACCACTTCTATTCAACCTAGTACTGGAAGTTATAGCCATGGCAATTAGGCAAGAGAAAGAAATTAAAAGCATACAAATCGGAATGAACAAAAGAGAGAGAGAAAGAAAGAGAGAGAGAAAGGGAGGGAGGGAGGAAGGAAAGAAATGGTCTTTGTATACTGATTACCTATTGTTATATATAGAAACCCCAAATATTACACCAAAAACTGTTAAAACTAATGAACTAGTTCAGGATATAAATCAACATAAAAAAATCAGTACTGTTTTTGCAGTATTGTAAAGACTATTGACATTATGAAGAAACTGCATCAACTAACAGGCAAAATAACCAGCTAGCATCATAATGACATGATCAAATTCACACATAACAATATTAACCTTAAATATAAATGGGCTAAATGCTCCAATTAAAAGACACATACTGATAAATTGGATAAAGAGTCAAGACCCATCAGTGTGCTGTATTCAGGAGACCCATCTCATGTGCAAAGACACACACAGGCTCAAAATAAAGGGATGGAGGAATATTTACCAAGCAAATGGAAAGCCAAAAAAAAAAAAAAGCAGCAGTAGCAATCCTAGTCTCTGATAAAACAGACTTTAAATCAAAAAAGACAAAGAAGGGAATTACATAACGGTAAAGGGATCAGTGCAACGAGAAGAGCTAACTATCCTAAATATATACGCACCCAATACAAGTGCACCCAGTTTCATAAAGCAAGTTCTTAGAGACCTACAAAGAGACTCAGACTCCTGCACAATAATAGTGGGAGACTTTAACACCCCACTGTCAATATTAGACAGATCAGTGAGACAGAAAATTAATAAGGATATTCAGAACTTGAACTCAGCTCTGGACCAAGCAGACCTAATAGACATCTACAGAACTCTTCACCCCTAATCAGCAGAATATGCATTCTTCTCAGAACCACATTACACTTAATCTAAAATTGGCCACATAATTGGGAGTAAGACACTCCTCAGCAAATGCAAAAGAGAAATCATACAAAACAGTCTCTCAGACCACAGTGCAATCAAATTAGAACTCAAGATTAAGAAACTCACTCAAAACTACACAACTACATGGAAACTGAACAACCTGCTCCTGAATGACTACTGGGTAAATAACAAAATTAAGGCAGAAATAAAGAAGTTCTTTGAAACCAATGAGAACAAAGACACAATGTACTAGAATCTCTGGGACACAGCTAGAGCAGTGTTTAGAGGAAAATTTATAGCACTGAATGCCAACATCAGAAAGAGGAAAAGATCTAAAACTGACACCTTAACATCACAATTAGAAGAACTAGAGAAGCAAGAGCAAACAAATTCAAAAGCTAGCAGAAGACAAGAAATAACTAAAATCAGAGCAAAATTGAAGGAGATACAGACACAAAAAACCCTTCAAAAAGTCAATGAATCCATGAAATGCTTTATGAAAAGGGAGAAAAGAGAGAAGAATCAGACACAACAAAAAACGATAAAGAGATATCACCACTGATCTCACAGAAATACAAACTACCATCAGAGAATATTATAAACACCACTACGCAAATAAACCAGAAAATCTAGAAGAAATTGATAAACTTCTGGACACATACACCCTCCCAAGACTAAACCAGGAAGAAGTTGAATCTCTGAATAGACCAATAACAGGCTCTGAAATTGAGGCAATAATTAGCAGCTTACCAACCAAAAAAATTCCAGGACCACACAGATTCACAGCCAAATTCTACCAGAGGTACTAAGATGACCTGGTATCATTCCTTCTGAAACTATTCCAAACTATAGAAAAAGAGGGACTCCTCCCTAACTCATTTTATGAAGTCAGCATCATCTTGATACCAAAACAGGGCAGAGACACAACAACAACAAAAAAGAAAATTTCAGGCCAATATCCCTGATGGACATTGATGTGAAAATCTTCAATAAAATACTAGCAAACAATTCAACAGCACATCAAAAAGCTTATTCACCATGAGCTAGTCAGCTTCATCCCTGGGATGTAAGGCTGGTTCAACATACACAAATCAATAAACGTAATCCATCAGATAAACAGAACCAACGACAAAAACCACATGATTATCTCAATAAATGCAGAAAAGGCCTTCAATAAAATTGAACACCCCTTCATGCTACAAACACTCAATAAACTAGGTATTGATGGAACATATTTCAAAATAATAAGAGCTGTTTATGACAAACCCACAGCCAGTATCATTCTGAATAGGCAAGAGCTGGAAGCATTTTCTTGGAAAACCAGCACAAGACAAAGATGCCCTTTCTCACCACGCCTACTCAACATAGTATTGGAAGTTCTGGCCAGGACAATCAAGCAAGAGAAAGAAATAAGGGGTATTCAGATAGGAAGAAAGGATGTCAAATTGTCTCTGTTTGCAGGTGACATGATTACATATTTAGAAAACCCCATCGTCTCAGCCCAAAATCTCCTTAAGCTGATAAGCAACTTCAGCAAACTCTCAGGATACAAAATCAACATGCAAAAATCACAAGCATTCTTATACACCAGTAATAGACAAACAAATAGCCAAATCATGAGTGAACTCTCATTCACAATTGCTACAAAGAGAATAAAATACCTAGGAGTACAATTTACAAGGGATGTGAAGGACCTCTTCAAGGAGAACTACAAACCACTGCTCAAGGAAATGAGAGAAGACACAAACAAATGGAAAAACATTCCATGTTCATGGATAGGAAGAATCAATATCGTGAAAATGGCCATACTGCCCAAAGGAATTTATAGATTCAATGCTATCCCAATCAAGCTACCATTAACTTTCTTCGCAGAATTAGAAAAACTACTTTAAATTTCACATGGCACCAAAAAAGAGCCTGTATAGCCAACACAATTCTAAGCAAAAAGAACAAAGCTGGAGGCATCACGCTATCTGACTTCAAACTATACTACAAGGCTACAGTAACCAAAACAGCATGGTACTGGTACCAAAACAAATATATAGAGCAATGGAACAGAAGAGAGGCCTCAGAAATAACACCACACATCTGCAACCATCTGATTTTGACAAACCTCACAAAAACAAGCAATGGGGAAAGGATTCCCTATTCAATAAATGGTGTTGGGAAAACTGGCTAGCCATATGCAGAAAACAGAAACTGGACCCTTCCTTACGCCTTATACAAAAATTATCTCAAGATGGATTAAAGACTTAAATGTAAGACCTAAAACCATAAAAATCCTACAAGAAAACTGGGAAATACCATTCAGGACATAGGCATGGGCAAAGACTTCATGTGTAAAACACCAAAAGCAAAGGCAACAAAAGCCAAAATCAACAAATGGGATCTAATTAAACTAAAGAACATCTGCATAGCAAAAGAAACTATCATCAGAATGAACAAGCAACCTAAAGAATGGGAGAAAATTTTTGCAATCTATCCATCTGACAAAGGGCTAATATCCAGAATCTACAAGTATCTTAAATTTACAAGAAAAAAATCAAACAACCCTATCAAAAAGTGGGCAAAGGATATAAACAGACACTTCTCAAAAGAAGACATTTATGTGCCCAACAAACATATGAAAAAAAGTTCATTATCACTGGTCATTAGAGAAATGCAAATCAAAACCATAATGAGATACCATCTCACACCAGTTAGAATGGTGATCATTAAAAAGTCAGGAAACAACAGATGCTGGAGAAGATGTGGAGAAATAGGAACACTTTTACGATGTTGGTGGGAGTGTAAATTAGTTCAACCATTGTAGAAGACAGTGTGGCGATTCCTCAAGGATCTAGAACCAGAAATACCATTTGACCCAGCAATCCCATTACTGGGTATATACCTAAAGGATTATAAATCATGCTATCCCATTACTGGGTATATACCCAAAGGATTATAAATCACGCTACTATAAAGACACATGCACACGTTTGTCTATTGCAGCACTGTTCACAATAGCAAAGACTTGGAACCAACCCAAATGCCCAACAATGATAAACTGGATAAAGAAAATGTGGTACATAAGCACCATGGAATACTATGCACCCATAAAAAATGATGAGTTCATGTCCTTTGCAGGGACATGGATGAAGCTGGAAACCATCATTCTCAGCAAACTAACGCAGGAACGGAAAATCAAACACCGCATGTTCTCACTTATAAGTTGGAGTTGAATAATGAGAACACATGGACACAGGGAGGAGAACATCACACACTGGGGCTTGTCAGTGGGTGGGAGGCTAGGAGAGGGCTAGCATTAGGAGAGACACCTAATGTAGATGATGGGTTGATCAGTGCAACAAACCACCAAGGCACATTTATACCTGTGTAACAAACCTGCATGTTCTGCACGTGTATCCTAGAACTTAATTTATATTTTTTTAAAAAAGTAGTGTTACACTAACAACAAACTATTTTTAAAAGAATCAATAAAACAATCCTATTTTCAAAACATGAAAATGCTCAGGCATAAATTAAACCAAAGAGGTGAAAGATATGTATAGTGAAATCTGTAAGGCATTGGTAAAAGAAATTGAAGACGATAAATGAAAAAATTCCTTGTTCATGGATTGGAAGAACTAAAACTGCTAAAATGTTCATACTACCCAAAATAATCAATAAATTCAATACAGTTCTTATCAAAATTCCAATGACATTTTTCGTAGAAATAGAGAAACAATCTTAAAATTTATGTGGAATCACAAAAGACTCTAAACAGACAAAGCAATCTTGAGCAAGAAGAACAAAGCTGAAGGCATTATAGTACTTAATTTGAAAATATACTACAAAGCTATGGTAATAAAAACAGTATGGTACTGGCATAAAAAGAGACACATAGACCAATACAATAGAATAAGGAACCTAGAAATAAATCCAAGTATTTACAGCCAACTGATTTTCAACAAAAGTGCCAAAAACACATAATGAGAAAAGAACAGTCTCTTTAATGAATGGTGTTTGGAAAACTGGATGTCCACCTGCAGAAGAATGAAATTAGACCCTCATCTCACACCACCTACGAAACTCAACTCAAAATTAACTAAAAGGTTAGACATAATGCCATAAACTTTAAAACTACAAGAAGAAAACATAGGGGAAAACCTCCATGACATTGGCCTGAGCAATGGTTTTTTTAGGTGATCCTCAAAGCACACGCAACAAAAATAAAGATAGACAAATAGAATTACATCAAACTAAAAAGCTTCTGCACAGAAAAGGAAACAATCAACAGAGTGAATAGACAACCCAAAGAAATATTAGTAGAAAATATTTGCAAACCATACATCTGATGTGTTTAATATGCAAAATAAATAAGGAACTCAAACAACTCAGTAGTAAGAAAACTAACAGCCCAATGAAAAATTGGACAAATGATTGAATAGACATTTCTCAAAGACATGGCCAGGTATATAAAAAATGCTCAACATCACCAATCATTAGAAAAATGCAAATTAAAACCACAGTGAGATCACCTCACACATGTTAGAATGGCTATTATCAAAAAAAATAAAAGATAATGTTGGAGAGGATGCAGAGAAAGAAAACCCTTGCACTCTATTGGTGGAAATATAAATTAGTATAGCCTTTATGGAAAATAGTAAGGGGGTTCCTCAAAAAATTAAAAATAGAAATATCATATGATCCAGGAATCCCAGTTCTGGATATATACCCAAAGAAAGCCTTATTTGAAAAGATATCTCACTCCCATGTTCATTGCAGCATTATACACAATAGCAAAAATATACACAATAGCAAAAATATACACAATAGCAAAAATCAACCTAAGTGTCCATCAACAAAAAATGGATAAAGAAGATGTGGTTTATATACACTATAGAATACTATTCAGTAATTTTAAAAAAGAAAGAAAGCTTGCCATTAATTATAACATGTATTTCCTGGAGGACATTAAGTGAAATAAGTGAGACACAGAGAAACAAATGGAATCTAAAACAGTTAAACTGACAGAAACGGAGTAAGATGGTGCTTACCAGAGGCTGGGGGGTGGGGAATACAGACAGATCTTAGTGAAAGGATACAAAATTTCAGTTAGGAGGAATAAATTCAAGTGATCTATTGTACATCATGATGGCCATACTTAATAACAATATATTGTATTCTTAAAAATTGCCAAAATATTATATTTTAAATATTCTCATCACAAAAAAGGAGGTAATAAATATGTTAAATAGCTTAACTTAGCCATTCCACAATGTATTCATATATCAAAACACCATGATTGTATACTGTAAAGAAATACAATTTTTATTTGTCAATGGAAAAAATAATTGTTTCTTTTTTTTTTATTATACTTTAAGTTTTAGGGTACATGTGCACATTGTGCAGGTTAGTTACATATGTATACATGTGCCATAAAATAATTGTGTTTCTGTACAGTAACACTGAATTATCTGGAAAAACAAATGCCATTTACAGTATCATCAAAATGAATAAAATATTTAGAAATAAATTTAACCCTGGAAGTGATTAATCTTTACACTTAAAACTATAAAATATTGATGAAATAAATTGAAGAAAATACAAATAAATGTTTAAAATATTTCATGCTCATGGAATAGAAGAATTAATACTACTAAAATGTCCATAATACCCAAAGTAATTGACAGATTCAATGCAATTCTTATCAAAACTCTAATGATATTTTTCACAGCATTGGAGGAAAAATTCTAAAATATGTATGGAACCACAAAAAAACATAAATAGCCAAAACAACTTGAACAACAACAACAGAAAAGCTGAGGCATCACATTTCCTGACTTGAAACCATATTACAGAACCATAAGAATCAAAACTGTATGATACTGGCATAAAAGCAGACACACAAACCAATGGAACAGAATCAAGTCCCCAAAAATAAATCCTCACATATATGGTCAACTAACTAATATTTGACAAATGTGTCAAGAATATACAGGAGAAAGGATACTTGATTCAATAAATGGTGCTGGGAAAACTTAGTATCTATATGCAAAATAATAAAATTGAACCATTATCTTACGTAACTCACAAATCTGATAAGGAGTTAATATCCAAAAAATACAAGGAATTCAAACAACTCCATAGCAAAAATAATACAATAAATTGATTTTTAAACGGCCAAAGGACCTGAGCTGACATTTCTCAATAGAAGACATACATATGGCCAACAGATACGTGAAATAATGATAATGCTCAACAGCACTATTCATGAGAGAAATGAAAATTAAAACCCCAATGAGATCAGCCAACATGTTAGGATGGCTATTATCGAGACGAGATAACAAGTATTGGCAAGGATTCAGAAAGAAAGGGAATCCTTATGCACTACTGGTGGGAATGTAAATTGGAACAGCCATTTTAGAAAACAGTATGGAGGTTCCTCAAAAATCAAAACTAGAGCTACCATCTTATCCAGCAATCCCACTGCTGGGTATATACCCAAAGGAAACGAAAATAGTATGTCAAAGAGATATATGCACTCTTGTGTTCAATGTAGCATCATTCACATTAGCCAACACTTGGAAACAAACCAAGCATCCATCAAAAAGAAGGAAATTCTGCCACTTGCAACAACATGGATCAACCTTGTTGGCATTATGCTTAGTAAAATACATGAATCAGAGAAAGACAAATACGATATGAACTCACTTATACATGAAATCTTAAAAAGCTGAATTCACAGAAACAGAGAATAGAATTAGAATGGTGGTTTCCAAAAGCTGGGGGAGGGGAAAATAGGGAGATGTTGGTCAGAAGGTACAAGCTTTCAGTTATAAGGCGAACAAGTTCTGGGGATTTAATATGCAGCATGGTGAATATAGTTAACAATACAGTATTTAATATTTGAAATTTGTTAAGAGAGTAGATCTTAAATATTCTCACCACAAAACAAGAAAAAATATGTCAGCTGATGGATAGGTTAATTAGCTGGTTTGTGGTAATCACTTCACAATATATACATATGTCAAAACATCATACACATAGTAAGTGTATGCAATTTTTACTTGTTAATTATACCTTCACAAAGCTGCAGTGAAAAGAACAGAGGTAAAACTATATTATTTTCATAAATTGCATAAGTGTATATTTTATGATTACTATGAAAAAGGGGTTTTTTAAATTTCTATTTTTAGTTTAGATTCAGGGGGATACATGGGCAGGTTTATTACAAGGGTATATTGTGTGATGCTGAGGTTTGGGCTTATATTAATCCTGTCACCCAGACAGTGAATATAGTATACAATAGGAAATTTTTCAGTCCTTGCTCCTCTCCTCCTCTCCTTCCTTTTGGAATCCCTAGTGTCTACTGTTTCCATCTTTATGTCTGTATGTACCCAGGATTTATCTCCTTAAATTTTAAATCAAGTGAGAAGATGTGGTGTTCGGTTTTCTATTTCTGCATTAATTTGCTAAGGATAATGGCCTCCAGCTGCATCCATATTGCTTCAAAGGACATTATTTCGTTCTCTTTTATGGCTGTGTAGCATTCCATGTTGTATATGTACCACATTTTCTTTATCCAATCCACCATTAATGGGCACCTAGCTTGATTCCATGTCTTTGCAATTGTGAATAGTGCTGCAATGAACATGTGAATGCATGTGTCTTTTGGGTAGAACAATTTATTTGGGTGGGAGGCACATACCCAGTGATGGAATTGCTAGGTTGAATGGTAATTCTATTTTCAGTTCTTTGAGAAATTCCCAAACTACTTTCCATAGTGGCTGAACTAATCTACATTCCCACCAGCAGTATAAAAGTGTTCCATTTTCTCTGCAGCCTCATCAATATCTGTCATTATTTTACTTTTTAGTAATAGCCATTCAGACTAGTGCAAGATGGTATCTCATTGTGGTTTTGAGTGGCATTTCTCTAATGATTAGTGTTCGAGCATTTTTTATATGTTTGTTAGCTGCTTTTATGTCTTCTTTTGAGAATTGTCCATTCATGTTCTTTGCCCATTCTTTAATGGGGTTATTTGTTTTTCTCTTGTTGATTTGTTTAGGTTCCTTATAGATTCTGGATATTAGTCCTTTGTCAGATGCATAGTTTGCAAATATTTTCTCCCATTCTGTAAGATGTCTGTTTATTCTGTTGATAGGTACTTTTGCTGTGCAGAAGCTCTTTGGTTTAATTAAGTCCCATTTGTCAATTTTTTGTGTGTTGCAATTGCTTTTGAGGACTTGGTCATAAGTTCTTTGCCAAGGCCAATGTCCAAAAGGGTATTTCTGAGTTTTTTCCCCAGGATTTTTATAGTTTGGGGCTTTACATTTAAGTCTTTAATCTTTCTTGAATTAATTTTTGTATATGGTGCTTGGTAAGGGTTAAGTTTCATCCTTCTGAATATAGTTAGCCAGTTTTCCTAGGACCATTTATGGAATAGGGAGTCCTTTCTGCATTACTTATTTTTGTCGACTTTGTTCAAGATCAGTTGGTTGTAGGTATGCTGCTTTATTTCTGGGTTCTTTATTCTGTTCCATTGGTCTAGGTGCCTATTTTTGTGCCAGTACCTTGCTGTTTTGATTACTGTAGACTTGTAGCATAGTTTGAAGTCCAGTAATGTGATGCTTCCAGTTTTGCTCTTTTTGCTTAGGATTGTTATGGCTATTTGGGCTCTTTTTTGGTTCCGTGTAATTTTAGAATCATTTTTTCTAGTTCTGTGTAAAATGACGTTGGTAATTTAATAGGAATAGTGTTGAATCTGTAGATTGCTTTAGGCGGTAAAATTTAGACATTTTGTTTATGTTGTTGATTCTTCCAATCCATAAGCATGGAAGGTTTTTCCATTTGTTTGTGTCATCTATGATTTCTTTCAGCAGTGCTTTGTAGTTCTTTTTGTGGAAATCTTTCACTTCCTTGGTTAGAAGTATTCCTAGATTTTGTGTGTGTGTGTGTGTGTGTGTGTGTGTGTGTGTGTGTGTGTATTTTAAAGGGAATTACATTCTTGATTTGGCTCTCAGCTTGAACATTATTGGTGTATAGAAATGCTATTGATTTTTTACATTGATTTTGTATCTTCAAACTTGACTTAAGTTGTTTTATCAGGTCTAGAAGCCTTTTGGCAGAGTCTTTGGGGTTTTCTAGTCATAGAATCATAGCATAATTTGACTCCTCTTTTCCTATCTGGATGCTTTTTATTTCTCTCTCTTGCCTGATTTATTTGGCTAGGATTTTCAGTACTACGTTGAATAAGAGTAGTGTCAGAATTCTTGTCTTATTCCAGTTCTTAAAGGGAATGCTTCCAGCTTTTACCTATTTGGTATGATGTTGGCTGTGGGACTGAAATAAATGGCTTTTATTATTTTGAAGTATGTTCTTTGGATACCTAGTTTATTGAGGGTTTTAACATGAAGAGGTGTTGGATTTTATCAGAAGATTTTTCTGCAACTATTGAGAGAATCATATACGGTTTGGGGAAAATAAGGCTTAAAATATTTGATTTCATAAGTTCACGAGAAGGTAAATAGGTAGATTGTTTTGGTTTTGTATTTTTCCCCAAAATATACCAAAAATATTTTCCGATATTTCAAAAAATATCATTTACAATATTTCAGATATTTTGGTAAAATATATGGTCCACCAAAAAAAAAAAAATCAAACAGAGCCAAGTTTTGTGGCACACACCATTAATCCCAGTGACTGGAAAGACTGAAATGGGAGGATTGCTTGAGCCCAAGAGTTTGAGGCCAAAATGAGCCATGATCACACCACTATACTTCAGCCTGGGTGACAGAGTGAGACCCAAAAGCCAAAAGCCAAAAAAAAAAGAGTCAAAAAATAGAAATGTAAAGGATAACATAAAAGCAGTCTCAGAAATCTCTTTCTTCTGGGAACATACTCTTTATCCAGGCTATTTGATGATCAATATCATTAAACACGGATCTCCATCACCACATAAATGAGTTAGCATTATATTTCTTGAATATATCACCCTAGATAACCTTGACTGAATGGGATATTTAATATACACATCAGATATTGTTCTAACTGCTTTATAGTCAACAAACAATTATTGATCCCTGTTACATGCTAGACTCCCTTCCAGGCACCAAACAGCCACTGGAAGCTAATATAGCATCATCAAGGAATGCTGAGTGCAGCATTATCACAGGGCTATCAGGTCCTGACCAATTAGTCTACGGAAATATTGGAAGACAATGTCCGTAAAATTGCATAGTAAGAAATCAACATCTACACGGAACACTATTCCTAAAGAGAGAATGTTTCTATTTGGTGGGATGTTATATAAAAAAAGAAAGAAAAAAAAAGCAATGAACAAATAAAACACTATATATAATTTGGCTGATGAGCTTGTTTTCACAAATAAAAGTAAGCTCCATTAAGTCAGGGACTTTACTGTTTTGTCTATTTAGTTGTTTGCTATATTTCTATTGCTAATCAAATTTGTTGAATTGATTCATTCAGTTACGTGGCAAAAAAGGGGGATCAGATCCATATTCGTTTGGATCTTAGGTTTTAATTGTGGGGAGATACATTTAAAAAAAACAAAATTTAGAGTGATAAGTGCTACGAAAAACACATGGAAATGTGATAGAGATTAGCTGGGGAGGAGGGATTTTAATTTAGATTAAGTAGTCAAGGAAGATCTCGTTGAATAGATTATATCTGAAAAACGATTACAAACAAGGAGTTCAATTTGGGGACAGAATCTGCCAGGCCAATGAAATTCAATGCAAAGACACTTTAACACCTGCAACCCTGGAATGACAAAGGCATGAGACGAATGGGAGAAGGAGGGAGGGATGAAAAGGAGCCAGGCAAGGTGCATCTGGTAGTTCTTGGTAAGGAGTCTGAATTTTATAGTTAAGTGCATAGGAAGTCTAAAAAGATTTCAAATTGGCAAATGGAAATACTTGATTTGTGGTTTTGGTTTTCTTGGGTTTTGTTTTTTGTTTTTTCGAGACACAGTCTCGCTCTGTCGCCCAGGCTGGAGTGCAATGGTGCGATCTCGGCTCACAGCAACCTCTGTCTCCCGGGTTCAAGCGATTCTCCTGTCTCAGCCTCCAGAGTAGCTGGGATTCCAGGCATGCGCCACCATACCCGGCTAATTTTGTATTGTTGTATTGTTGATTTTGTATTGTTAGACGGGGTTTCTCCATGTTTATCAGGCTGGTCTCGAACTCCTGACCTCAGGTGATCTGCCCGCCTCGGCCTCCCAAAGTGCTGGGATTACAGGCGTGAGCCACCGCGCCCAGCCAACGTGTGGTTTTTTTAAAGAACGCTTTTGGCCGCCATATGGAGAATAGATTGAAAGGGGAATGAATTAAAGCAGAGAAACAAGATAGTAATCCATTGGGTAATCCAGGAAAAATAGGGTGGCCCAGTTTGTTAGTCATTCTGGAAATGGAGAGAAGTCGAGCTTGGAATCATTCAGATTTTCAAGATGAGGGCAGGCTAGTAATTAAGGATAACTCCTTAATTACTGGTTTCTGGCCAGAAATAGGTACATGTTTATATCATTTACTACAATGAGGAAGACTGGAATGAGAGCAGATTCAGTGCAATCAAGAGATCTATTTTAGCTATGTTTAGACTCATAATTTTGTGCATGAAATTAGGCAGTTGGAACTACCTATTCCATGCTCAATGTAGAAGACTGGAAATAGACACTTGAAAGCCATCAATATGTAGATGGGATTCAAATCCTTAAAACTCTAAGATTCTATCTAGGGACACAGTATAAACAGAAAAGAATTGAGCCTTTGGCAAGGGCATAGGAATCTCAGGACACTGTATTTCTAAAATTTCTACATATGCCAGCCAATACAGTTACTCTGATATGCGGCCAGTTGTGGAAGCACTGCTAATAACTTCACTTTAAATGGTTTCCATAAGTTAAGGGCTAAAGTAAGCAAGGGAAAAAATTGTTAAATAAAAAGGAAACAGGAAAACATGTCTTGATTTATTCAAAGGGGTATGGAAAGGTCTTATATTAAAGTTTAAGGCAAGGGCATCTGCTTTACAAGCTGGGTATATCCATTTTTTGATAACAAATGAAAACCTTTTTAAAAATTAATTCAAAAATCCAAAGGATTTCTCTATAATTTCTCCAGAGTAACAAACCCATGGATTTTAATCACAGAATAAGGAGCAAGGGACTAGAAAAGTCACTGTGTAGGAATGTATTTAAACCAGAAACATGGGTGGGCATGACAATTTATATACATTTTTGTTTTTCAAATGAAAATTGAATATTTGCTATGGTTGAATTGAAATTGTGAAATTCAATTATAACTTTAAAGTGGTTTTTAAAAGAAAAAGGAGAACTGTAGAAAATTTGACTAAAGGGGAAGAGAAAAATACATAAGTGAAACTGAGATCTCCAGTCAAAGTGAACAGTTTCAAGTATTCAGATGTTTAGAATCTTGATAGACAAAAATGTACCATTAGTAGATGTTATGTTTCTTTTTATCATCATTATTATAGCATTTATAAAGAATACATACACATACATATGTATATACTATGTATATAGTATATATATTTCATATATGTGTGTATTATATATAAAATCCTAAAGGAAGTGCTTATAAGGAGAGTATTTTCCAGATGTTTTATCAAATATCAGCATAAACTTTCCCCAAATATTTCTGCAGCACACAGACACCCTGAACTGATTGAAATTGTAACAGTTAATACTTATTTGGATGCTGTGTGCCAACCAGTACTGTAGTATTTACATATGTTAAACTTATTGAATCCTTACATTCGCCCTTTAAATTATGTATTATAATATCCCCTATTATAGATAAGAAATCGGAGGCAATGAAGGTTAAGTAATTTTCCCAAGTTCACACATCTGGTAACTGTAGCCACCAGGATTTCAGCCCAGAAAGTCTGGCTCCACAATCTATCCATCTAACCATTACACTATACTATATCTCAAGTGTAAAATATATTGATTATCGTACAGAAGCAGATAGTTAAAATTATTTTATTGATCAGTAATGTCATCCACATTTGAACATGTATCATGAGGCAGCCAATTCGTGCTTATGTATTTTATTAAAACCAATTATTACTGATATGTAATTTTAATTTAAGGAAGCTGTTAAAACCTATGATTATAAGCCAACTCACAAAAATTTTCATAGTATATACTTACTCTAGAATTTAATGTGTAAATAGTGACCTCTGAGACAATAACAAAACTAATTGTCGTAGACAATGAAGTATTTGAATCATCCCTCATGGTCACCAAAACAACTGAGAAAAAATGTAAATCTTATGATTCTGGTCTTACTGTTTAGAGCTTTGGGGATTAAACATCTCTTTCAAATACAACTGTTCTGACCATGGGTATCAGAGATAACCACTAGAGGTACCTCATTTAAATGATATCTGCTCAGAGCAAGTTTAGTTCCACAATCAATATTTGTGCTTTGAATGGTAAGATTTTTCTGTAGCTAAGTATAATTGTAGTGTTGGAAATCTACATTATTTAAGAGTAAATTTTATATTATAATACATTCACAACCAAAAAAATATGAAAATACATTTTCTTATTTCTTTGTCCTATAGTTTTCCTTCATATTAAATAACTTTTACATCTACTAAACCTGCCCTAGTGAAATATTAGGGTATGGTCTAATTCTAGGCTGGCATTTTCTATGACACTGTACTCTAGTAAAGTTAATTGGATGCAGTCCCAATGGTTTAGATAATCTTTTTGATTATCTGAGTCTTCAGGTAATACTGGGAAATTTTGTTCAATTCTGATTCTGAATTATCCGGTTGCTTTTCCTAATGTTTCTCTATGGTCAAGACCTACTTGCAGGTTGATTTAAACTCAGAACAAGAAGTAAGAATTTGTGACAGGTTTCATCCTCTTACTTGAAGTCATATATTCGAGAAGGAGGAGTCCTGTTGAGAATCTCTACCCTAACACACTTTGGGAAAAGCAGAATTCTCCGTGGCACTGCAGGGAAATCATGAGAAATTTACAGCCCTGGAGAAAAAAATGCTTAACCGGGATCTATTTTCCATAGTGTGGATTCTACAAAAGTCGAGAAGTAGAATGGCAAAGGAACTCCCTCTGGATCACAGTAATGTTCATCCTTAATCTCTTGGAGAAACAGTATGCCTGGATTGGTAAAACAATTTGTAGAAAGTAGAAGAAAAAGAACTTAGATCTGTATGGGCTGGTTTTATTTCAGAAGTCTGAGAATAAATATTGATCCAGCAGAAACAAAAGCGAGAAAGATAGATTAAATTGAAAATGAAGAATTCAGATACTTGTTTTTAATTTTGTTTTGTTTTGTTTTTTAATGCCATTTGTGAAACTTGTCAGCAAAATATTTTATTCTTGAAGGTTGTGGAGCCATAAAGGACTCAGATTTTATGTATCCATTTCTAAATCTCATACTGTGCATGAAAATTTATTTGAAGATTTTTCTATGTCACTTTTTAATAGGCAGAAGGAGGATTTTTATTCTTTCCTGAGTTAATCTTTATGGACTGTAGTAATAATGAAATAGTTAAGAAATTAACAGCATAATATTGATTTTAATTTTAAAAGAATTTTCAGGTTTTTATATAATTTTAACTGAAGCCCTATTTTATTCAGAAGTTAGGCACAATTATACACATCAACGAGTCTGTTAAAATAAATAAGCATTAATTATTGATGCCCCTGCTCAGACATTATGGAACTTTAATGGGGTGTGACAGCTTGAAATATCTTTCAGAGAATTATTTTTCTTTCTATCCAATTTGATTAATGGCAAAACTCAGAATCAAATCATAATTTTTGAAAAGCTAATGCTAAAGAAATCACAAAATGATTTTCTCAAAACGGCTATTTCAACCACCATCTCCGGTTAGTCTCACAAATGTATCCACTTTTGAATCATGGCCACAGTTGGAAGTAATTTCTTAATAACATTCAAAAAAACATATTTGAAATGGCATAACAAACAAAAAAAGCACAACTTTTTGTACTACATCTATATAAAGAGAGAGAAGAAGCACCAGTTTGATATTTATCTGGGTTTTGTTTGTTTTTGAGACAGGATCTTGCTCCAGCACCCAGGGTGGAGTGCAGTGGTGCAATCATAGCTCACCGCAACCTCAAACTCCTGGGCTCAAGTGATCCTCCCGCCTCAGCCTCCTGAGTAGCTGGGACTATAGGAGTACGCCACCACACCTGGCTAATGGCTGTTATTTTTTAACCAAATGTTTTATATTAGCTTTTTGACCACTTTATTGAAGTATGACTGACATACAAAAGCAGTACAGATTTAATGTATACAACTTGATGAGTTTGAAGGTGAGTATATACCTGTGAAACCATCAACACAATCTATCCCATATATACATCCATCACCTCCAACAGTTTCCTCCCACCTTCTTTATTGTGTTGTGTATGTGTGTGCGTGTGATGAGAACACTTAACATAAGATCTACCCTCCTAGCAAAATTTTAAGTATACAATATAGTATTTCTTAAATGTAGTGTAAAGTGGCTGACAAGTTTTAAGGAGATGGATGACATGATTTCATCAAATGTTGTAACAATGTAAAGGCATAAGACTGGATGCAAGGACTGGATGCAAGACTATTGCCAGAATCCAGAAAAGAAATCATAGTGATTTGAATTAGGGTTGTGGTGGTAGGGATTTTTTAAAGTGATAGGATAATTAGCATATATATTTGCATCCAAATTTACCAGTTTTGGTGATAAGGCGTTAAGAATGAGAGAGACAAGGCGTCCAAGGGTAAACACCAGATGTCCTACATAACAAACTAGGAGATCAAAGGTGCTTAGTCACTAAGATATGAAAAAAGAAGAACAATCTTTCCTCACTCTTTTTTAAGGTTTATTTTTAATTAAGCAACAATTGTATATGTTTATGGGGTGCAATATAATGTTTTAATATATGTTTATAATGTGTAATGATTAAATCAGGCTAATTAACAAACCCATCACCTAACATACTTATTTTTTGTGGTGAAAACACTTAAAATCTACTCTTAGTAATTTTGAAATAAACAATGCATTATTGTTTATTGTAGTCACCATTCTGTGAGATCACTAAAACTGGTTCCTTTTTTCTAACTGAAACTTAGTACCCTTGATCAACATCTCCCCTTTTCCCATCCATCTCCTGCCCCCACTCTCTACCTCTATGAGTTCAACTTTTTTGGATTCCATATATAAATGAAATCATGCAATATTTGTCTTTCAGCTTACTTCAGTTAGCATGATGTCCCCAGGTTCATCCTCCAGGTTATCACATCTTTTCCTCATCCTACCATTAGCCCAGTACTTAAATTTTATAGGTGAATTTACTGATCAAATAAAAGAATATGTTCATTTTATCAAGCTAACTAGCTTATAAAGAATCATAGGGTCATTTTAGAACCAGCATCTATTTCAAACTTTCAAATCTACACGTTAGATAATTCAGACCTCAAGTTTAAAAGTGAACTCCCCAAGGTCACCTGGATTTTTTTTAAAAAATCTAATATTAAACTCATTGCCATAAAAGAATCTATGACAAATAGCAGATTTCTTGGCTGTAATTTTTACTTTTATCCATTAAATTTTTTCAATTAGTAACATAAATTATCTCTCTTTGTTTAGTTCTAATTTTATCAAATTATTTAGATAGTTCATGTTGACAAATTGTTTCTTCCTCTTTTCCTTTTCTTCTTCCTCTCCCTCCTCCTTCTCCTCCTCTACCTCTTCTTCCTTCTTCTTCCTTCTCCTTATCCTTGTATCATCATCTACCTCCTCCTCCTCCTTTTCTCACTCTAGGATTTAGACATTGAAGGACTATGGACCAAAGCAATTATAGTTCTTTACATGGTTTTATTCTGCTTGGCTTCTCTAACCATCCAAAAATGGAGATGATCCTGTCAGGAGTTGTCGCCATCTTCTACTTAATTACATTGGTGGGTAACACAGCCATCATTCTTGCATCTCTCCTGGATTCCCAGCTTCATACACCAATGTACTTTTTCCTCAGAAATTTATCTTTCCTAGATCTATGTTTCACAACCAGCATCATCCCTCAGATGCTGGTCAACTTGTGGGGACCTGATAAGACCATCAGCTATGTGGGTTGTATCATCCAACTCTATGTTTACATGTGGTTGGGCTCAGTTGAGTGCCTTCTCCTGGCTGTTATGTCCTATGATCGTTTTACAGCTATATGTAAGCCCTTGCATTATTTTGTAGTCATGAACCCACATCTATGTCTAAAGATGATTATCATGATCTGGAGTATTAGTTTGGCCAATTCTGTAGTATTATGTACACTCACTCTGAATTTGCCCACATGTGGAAACAACATTCTGGATCATTTCTTGTGTGAGTTGCCAGCTCTGGTCAAGATAGCTTGTGTAGACACCACAACAGTTGAAATGTCTGTTTTCGCTTTAGGCATTATAATTGTCCTCACACCTCTCATCCTTATTCTTATATCCTATGGCTACATTGCCAAAGCTGTGCTGAGAACGAAGTCAAAAGCAAGCCAGCGAAAAGCAATGAATACCTGTGGATCTCATCTTACTGTAGTGTCTATGTTCTATGGAACTATTATCTACATGTACCTGCAACCAGGTAACAGGGCTTCCAAAGACCAGGGCAAGTTCCTCACCCTCTTTTACACCGTCATCACTCCAAGTCTCAACCCGCTCATTTACACCTTAAGAAATAAGGACATGAAGGATGCCCTGAAGAAACTGATGAGATTTCACCACAAATCTACAAAAATAAAGAGGAATTGCAAGTCATAGATAAAGACTAGAGTGAATAAGGCAATTAAATATGTTTTCTAATTTTCTTTAATTTTTACAAATGCAAGTAATTCCTAGGTCATGGAGATCCATAAATATAATTATTATATACAAACATTTTGTAGATGCAAACAAAATTACAACCATTCTACTTAGCTCCTTTATGTCCCTGATCATTGGTATATCATCAGAGAAAACAGATCATTAGAAATTTTATTTTTGCTTGAAATAAAACACAAATGGGATGTAAACATAAATTTGAATGCATTTAATTTATTCTAAAACCACATAGAAACTGTTTTGGTTATCTAGTTTTGTATTTTCAATGTTAATCCTTGCCTCTTCCAAAGTATAGACCTGAGCAAATGGTTTCATATACATTATGGTGTGTATATTAAATAATATACCCATAATGTTCATTCTATTGGAGCTTGAGAAAAAATATACATATACACAATAATGATTTTGTACACCCAATCTTTTGTAATGCCACCCAAATATTTATTTGTGTTTGATGCAAACAGTGCAGTTTATAAGACAGTAATTGTCATAAGCCCCATTTAAAACAATTCACTCTTTTTTCAATGAAATTTCAAATCGATATCTTGAGTAAAGGGTCTCTGCTATTTAAGTCTATTACTACTCTATCGTAATATAAAGCCACAAATTAAAGGGTTTTAAAGGTAATGACACAGTCTTATCAATTTCTCTTTCATTCGTTAAATGTTTATTCCATGATTGTCTCAACTTAATGGAAAGATAATATGACTAGTTTGAAACCAGTTAGGCTTTTGACATACATCTGTGGAACTGGCGGATTTACGTGAATTTTTAGAAATGTGGTAATGTTTATATGTAGTGGAATTGCATAACAGAATAAATCTTTTTATTTCTATTTATCATAATATAATATTTAGCTTTTATGGGACAATGTGATTACTTTTTAATTAAACTTTTATTTTTGCCATGATCTGATACCTTTCTCTAAAAGTGCCCATTATTTAATAATAGTAGCCAATCTAGATAGATCTAGAAAGACACACTGCTAGAATCTAAAAATATATATTTTCTCTTCCATCATGTCATCTTTAATGATGAGCAGCACACCACTAGCATTTTGAGTTGTCCCTTTCTTTGGTGTACCACTGGTTTTCACAATGTGGATAATATGTTACAGTAAGATCAGGAGAGATGGTAATTATGCCTTTCTTTTGTGAAGGAGGAGAAGGGATCTTTGAAAGTGAAGGCTGGAAAGAGAACCTGTCTAACTCCTCAACCTGGCATTTCCTCAAGAAAATGTTAGCGAAGAAAACAAAGGAACAAGGAGGATCTGGAAGTTATTTCCTTAAAACTAACTTTATAACCCTACAAAAGTCTCTGCATCCCAGAGTGTGCCCCCCCGTTGAAGCCCATTGTCTTAGACTATGGTTCTCTTAACAAGCCATACAAATCTCTATGAAGGTTAGAATTGCATTGTTTTGTAAATATTATTTATAGAACTGATAAGCCTCTAGCCAATGTAATTATAAGTTTCTTGAAAGCATAATTTTGTATAGTTCTTTCTCGATTCACCATCATATAATAGGGTTCCATGACTCTTAGTAGGCATTGAATATTTTTAACGATTTGGATGAATTTTTCAGTGTTCATGCAAATGTTTGTAAACAGAGCAAAAATCATCTTGTTATCATTTTTAACTAAAAAAAACATACACAAATATGAGCTAAGCAGAATATCCCAAGCCTTCAAAAACATGTCCTAGAAAATTTCGGAAATGTCTTACCTTGACCTGCATCATAATTATGCTTAATTACTGTTGTGGAGCACCAGTCTCAACGGGCTTAACAATATCCTGAAACTAAGTCAGCTCTCTTAGATTTTATACCCATCACATTTATCTTTTTCTAAGGTTAGCCCTTGGCCAGGGCAGGAAAATGTTTCTGCCACTCACAAAACACTCAGTAAATAGGTAATTTTCAAAACCACATATGCCTAGTGTTGGAAAAATGCAATATAATACAATCTAGTTTATTGCCTATTTTCCTTTCATATGGACATCTCCAGATTCTTCCACAAGAAGTTCAACTCTGATTGGTACCAATTAACCACAACATGGTAGATGTTGACTAGTTCAGACAAGGAAATTCATAATGATTTATGATTAAAGATAAAAGCAACCCTTCTGAGTCAACCATCATAACTTGAGGAGTGGTGGACTAAGAAAACCATAGTAGAAAATGCACATAATGACTCCCCTCAGTGCAAGTAAATAGCTAATTCTTTCAATATTTCTCTTCTTTAGAAGACTATAATCTAAAAAATACATTATTCAAATTCAGAGAATCACGAATATCTAGAGAAAATGAAATGCCATTTTTACTGTATCTGTTTATATTCATAACAATTATTAATTTTCTCTCATTTCTTAAACAAAAACTTATAAATGGATTCAAGCAGAAGATGCTATGATACTCAATTGTCATATAGTGATGAATTTTGAAGTACAGGAACCTCTAGAGGTCAAATACATATATATGCACTTATTATCCAATTCTAATCCCATTATTTTAATTGATGTGTTTGGGTATCTTTGCAAGTACATACATTTACCTACTTTACAATGAATATTTATATCTTAAATAAATTTACTGACATGTATTATTGAAGTATGTTGCATAAAAATGATATGGCATATCAAATTTTCAAACATGCTGTAAAAATTAAGCTAATTATTAATTGGTAACATTTTTCAAGCAATACCTGGGTATAGATGCTGATAATTTATAAGTCTAAATATGTACCCAACTTACTGAAGTACATTGATTCATTTTATCACTTTTATAGATATCAGTTCATCCAGGTCTCTGGCATTTCTGATATTGGTTTTTGTATTAATACATAAGTTAATTTTTTTTTTGAGATGGAGTCTGTCTCTGTCGCCCAGGCTGGAGTGCAGTGGCACAATCTCAGCTCACTGCAACCTCCACCTCCCGGGTTCATGCCATCCTCCTGCCTCAGCCTCCCGAGTAGCTGGGACTACAGGCGTGTGCCACCACATCCGGCTAACTTTTGTATTTTTAGTAGAGACAGGGTTTCACCATATTGGCCAGGCTGGTCTCGAACTCCTGACCTCAGGTAATCCACCCACCTCGGCCTCCCAAAGTGCTGGGATTACAGGCGTGAGCCACCGTGCCCAACCTGCATAAGTTAAATTTTAAAATTCTTTCTACTTTCTGAAGAAATTCTGACACTCTCCATTGTATTTCTGAAAATTATTTTCTATGGGAGAAGGATTCTATTATTTTTGAGGATTTTTGTTTAAAATACTGCTCCTGATAAATTTTTAACCTCCTCTCACAGTTGAGTCCCTGTGGCCACTGTCCTTACCAATTTCTACTGTACGAAACAGCTTCTTCTCCACTTAAAGACTATTTCTTGTCCTCTTGCCAGTGAACCAAGCCTATTTTCTTTTATTCTCTAAAGTACCACTAACAAGTGGGGAATGCAGTTAGTGGGATTTTCATAAAGAACTGGGAATAATAAAGGAGGATTATACTGCAGGATAAAAAGGAAAACATTGCCTAATGAATATTTGACTTCTTAAAATTCCTTAGCAATCCCTACCACAGAGCTTTGCTCTCTGGATGTCTGCTTTTTTAGGTCCCCCTTGCTCCATGTTTTGGAAGATCTTATTTACTTTCGGTCCCAACTTCTATTCCAATCTGTCTTTGTCTCTGACCTAGGACCTCCAATTCTTTCAACTGTAGTGTCTGTGAAGGAATAATGTCACTATCACTTAGAGAGAAATATTTGTCTGGCTCTATCTTCTATAAACACTAGAATAAGGGGTAAAGATACACTCACCTTGCATTAGAAAATAGAATTTGTTGTTTTAAGTAAAAGAACACCTTTTCTTCTGCTGCTGCTGCTCCATTCCTCAGAACACAGATGCAATTAAAACAATTCCAATCTTCTATTTTTCCCCATTACATCCCTTAACTAAAGAGTATACAATTTTGATCCATGTGATTATAAGGAGCACATATTTGGTATTATTACTAAGAAGCTTTCTGTATTAATAATGCATATTTTTAGCTCACACTTTTACAATTTAATTTATACAAACCTTTCTACAATTCAGTGATTTCTCTTTATATTGATGTCTTGAATAGAACTGACCAAGTTTATGTTTCAATGAATAAAATTTTGAAATTGAAAAATAATACACTTTTTGAAACTATCTAGGTGGAGAAGTAACATGAAAAGGATTTTTTAAAAAGAAGCTACTTCCATGTCCTGAAAACCTGGAGTAATATTTAATGTAGAGTAATTGTGTAGAAAATTTTCTAGTACCAATAAGTACCCATTTATGAATATGTGGGTCCATTCCCAACACTGGAGCAATTCCAGTACCTGTTTTCACTAATTGTACTCCCAAATTCCAAATCACTGTGTAGAAATTAATTCTACTAGGTAATTAACTCCAGGTCAATTTATTCTCTTTAAAATCAGTTGGATGGAAATGTTCCTTGGTAGTTCTTTTTATTTATGTTTTCTTACCAATCTCATTATTCTTCATAGACAAGTTTCTTCAGAGAAACACTTTGTCATGGTAACTGTAGTATACTTTAAAACACTTTGTCAGGCTATTGATATAAGTGCATTTATTCATTCAAATATTACATTCTATGGGCCGGGCACAGAGGCTCACGCCTGTAATCCCAGCTCTTTGGGAGGCCGAGGCGGTGGATCACGAGGTCAGGAGATCGAGACCATCACAGCTAACATGATGAAACCCCGTCTCTACCAAAAATACAAAAAATTAGCTGGGCGTGGTCGCGGGCACCTGTAGTCCCAGCTACTCGGGAGGCTGAGGCAGGAGAATGGCGTGAACCCGGGAGACAGAGCTTGCAGTGAGCCCAGTGAGCCAAGATCATGACACTGCACTCCAGCCTGGGAGACAGCAAGACTCCGTCTCAAAAAAAAAAAAAAAATATATATATATATAACATTTTATGGACATGAGTGGCTCTAATCAGTAAATGTACACTATTAGATGGGGAGGTCAACTAGCATTTAGCCAGAAAGGCTGCCCTCCAAGGCAGCTACCACAGGACCTTCAGTTATCTACCTCTTGGTCAACATTTGATGCCTAGCCAACTCACATAATAATTGAGGTTTAAATCAGTTATCATCCTGAAATTAGTGGTACCAAATATATGAGGGTCATCTAACATATTTTAGAAACATTCCCTATTCTTCTATGAAGGGCATAAGAACCTAGCAAGATGTGTAGCCTAAACTTTAGGGGTAGTGCCCAAGACTTGTTCCCTAAATGGGCCTGTGTCCTACTATGGATAAGTTCCACTTTCTCAATGCTGACATGAAAGTAAAACCCTACCTCTGTTGTCTTATCTTCTTCAAATACACCTTTCTACAAGGTACTTTGGAGTATTTTAAAGGGCAGAGAGCTGAGGATTTATTAAATTTACAGAGAAGATGACATAAACTGTCTTATGCTAATGTCTGGTTAACTAATCTCTATATTCATGGCAGAATTTGATCAGAGTCATTTTCATCATAACTGGGACATAGGATTGTGGTGGTAAATGCTAACCATACGCCCACTTCACCTTTTTCAGCCACTATGATTAACTACCAAAAATGACCCTGTTGCTGAGCATGACCAAATTGGGTTAGGCTAGTTCAAAACACACTCTATTTTTCTCATTAGACACTGTTCATTACTTCTTAATTTGTTGCACCTTGCTTTTAGTCCCTCTGAACTAAAATGCTTAAGAGCAAATATCAACTAGAGTTTCTACTCTGTTGTTTTACATTAGCTGAAAAATACAGGTATATCCCCCAAAAAATAAGAAGAAAGAAAACTATCATTATTTTAAGATAACAGAATCCACTCCATTTTTAACACAAAAAAATTATGTTATTAGAAATCCCTATAGACTCCGTGAAAAAGAAATATACAGAATAAATATTTAAAATCTTCTGCACAGCAAAAGAAACTACCAACAGATTAAACAGACAACCTACAAAATAGGAGAAAATATTTGCAAATTAAGCATCCAACAAAGGTCTAATATCCAGAATCTATAAGAAATTTAAACAAATCAACAAGCAAAAACAACCCCATTTAAAAATGAGCAAAGACATGAACCAACACTTCACAAAAGAAGACATACACATGTCCAACAAGCATATGAAAACATGCTCAGTATCACTAATCGTTAGGGAAAGGCAAATCAAAACCACAATGAAATACCATCTCACACCAGTCAGAATGGACATTATTAAAAAGTCAAAAAATAACAGATGTTAGTGAGGTTGCAGAGAAAATGGAATACTTACACACGGCTGGTGGGAATTTCAATTAGTTTAGCCACAGTGGAAAACAGTTTAGAGATTTCTCAAAGAACTCAGAACTACCATTTGACCTAACAATCCCATTACTGGGTATATACCCAAAGAAATAAAAATTGTTCTACCAAAAAGACACATTCACTCGCATGTTCATCACAGCACTATTCACAGTAGCAAAGACATAGAATCAATCTAGATGCCCATCAGTGGTGGACTGGATAAAGAAAATGTGACATATATACACCACAGAATACTATGCAACCATAAAAAGAATGAAATCATGTCCCTTGCAACAGCATGGATGGCAGCTGGAGGCCATTATCCTAAGTGAATTAATGCAAAAACAGAAAACCAAATACCACATGTTCTCACTTATAAGTATGAGCTAAACATTGAGTACACACAGACACAAAGAGGGGAACAACAGACACCTGGGCCTACCTGAGGGTGGCAGGAGGAAGGAGGGTGAGGATTGAAAAACTACTTATTGGGTACTATGCTCACTATCTGGGTGACAAAATGATTTGAACACCAAACCTCAGCAACACACAATTTACTCAAGTAACAAACCTGCATATGTACCCCTAAACCTAAAATAAAAGTTAAAAAAAAAAATTTAATTTAAAAAATACATATATAGCTCTCCTAACAACAATAAGCAATGAGCAATTAAATAAAATGATATCAATAAAGATGAACTTAACATATGTTGAACATTTTTAAGGTATTATTAATCTTTACCAAGAAAAAGGGAAAAACAAATAAAATGAGACATGCCACATTCTTCAAAAAATAACTTTTAAATATAAATTTAAATGCAGACATTTCAAATAATTGTCTGCATTGTGTTTGGATTGTAACAAATTTATTTCAAGATTTATTTGGTCAAATTACAGCTTAGAAGAGTCAAGCCATTTTCATAAACGAATAATAAGCAAGGATTTGCTCTGGCCAGCACTGAAATACTATCAAATATTACTAAGGGTTTGATTTGGGGTCAAGAGCAGTGGCTCCTGCCTGTAATCCCAACATTTTGGGAGGCCTAGGCAGGAGGATAGCTTGAACTCAGGAGTTGGAGACCAGCCTGGGCAACAGAGTGAGACACCCCTGTCTCCACAAAAAACAAACAAATAGCCGGGCGTGGTGGCCTGTGCCTGTAGTCCCCGCTACTCGGGAGGCTGTAGTGGGAGGATTACGTGAGCCTGGGAGGCCGAGGCTGCAGTGAACAGAGATTGTGCCACTGCATTCCAGTCCGGGTGACAGAGTGAGGCTCTGTCTCAAAAAAGAAAAAGAGTTTGATTTGCATATGATTGAAACAACATTGCCTCAAAACAGACCCTAGTGTGTTTTACATTACAACAGTAAATATGAAAAGAATGACATTACAAATTAGTGTGTGATGAAGGCCTATTTGTTGACCAGCGTGAGAAAACTGATGAAAGATCTAGAAATAAAATTTGTCAGTAAAAACAATACCTAAAAAACATACATTATTATAAATTTTAAATTGATTAAAAAATGTAGAGAGTTCCAGCAGAGATCCCAGGCCTGAAGCAGCGGCGAACCTGTCTTCCCCACCCCACCTCGGTGACCTGGTGGCCGCCGGCACACAGCACCTTTGGATGGCCGCGGGTGTGCCGGGCGGGAAGAAACACGCAGAGGCTGCTGGGGTGCAGGGCCCGCGAAGGCGGAGTTAGGGAGAGGCCTGGCCTCCTCTTTAGGCCACGGCGCCGCGCAGATGCTGTCCTCGGGGGACCTCTCTGTCCCAATTGGGTGAGACCTACCTGGTCCTGATGACAACAGACAACAGCCTTAACGGCCGGAAGGTCAGCGAAGTCCCGGATGAGGACGGGTGGAATGGTAGCGACCATGGGGCAGTTGGCCTTCCTTCTACCAGACGTTGATGTGGGAAAAGAGAAACGGAGTAACAGGACACATTTAGCGATTTGGAGATTCCCATCACGCTTTGGGAGGATGTACCGGCGTTTATAGGAGACCTGCGTGTATAATGTGAGAAAGCTGCTCTCAGCTTCCCCCAAAACTTTTACAAGGAAACATTTGCCACATCTAGCCTTTCCAGATGTATAGAGGTTACCGACCTATGATAGAGTTAGAAAATCACACATGGAATTTTTTAAATTCCATATTACAGAGTAGGTAATCAGTATGTAATTGTATCAGTGGATTACAAAATCTGGAGATTATATTCTGAGAATCTATTTTTGCCAACACAATAAGAGCCATATATTACAAGCCCACAGCTAATATCATAATGATAAAAAGTTGAAAGCTTTCCCTCTAAGATCCAGAACAAGATAAAGATGCCCACGCTCACCACTTCTGTTCAACATAGTACTGAATGTCCTAGCCAGAGCAGTTAGGCAAGAAAAAGAAAAAAAGGCATACAAATTGGAAATGAAGAAGTGAAACTGTCTCTTCTGATGACATGATCCTTTATTTGGAAAACCCTAAGAACTCCAACAACAAAAAAAGCTATTCAAATAAACAAATTCAGTAAAGTTACAGGTTACAAAATCAATATACAAAAATCAGTAGTGTTTCTATGCACTAACAATCATCTGAGAAGAAATTAAGTAAACAATCATAATTAAAAAATAAATTAATTAAAATAACTAGGTGCAAATTTAACCGAGGAGGTGAAAGATTTGTACACTTGAAAACTATAAAACACTGATATTTAAAATTACAAAAGACACAAAAATTGAAAAATACCTCATGTTCATGGATTGGGAAAATTAGTATTTTTAAAATACCTATACTACCCCAAATAAAGATTCAATGCAATCTCTATCCAAGTACCAATGTCATTTTGTAGAGAAATAGAAAAAACGATTCTAAAATTTGTCTGGATCCACAAAAATCCATAGCCAAAGTAACCTTGAATCAAAAAACAAACAAACAAAAAAAAACGGGAGGCATCATAATACCTGGCTTCAAAATCTACTGTGAACCTATAGTCATCAAAACAACAGGATACTGGCATAAAAACAGACACAAAAACCAATGGAACAAAATAGCGTAAAAATCAATCCATACATTTACAATCAATTGATTTTCAACAAAGGTGCCAAGAACACACAATGGGGACAGGGCAGTCTCTTCAATAAACGGTGTTGAAAAACTGAATATCCACATGTTGAAGAACGAAATTACATGCATACCTCAAACCATATACAAAAATCAACTCAAAATGCATTAAAGACTTAAACATAAGACTATTAAACTACTAAAAGAAATCATAGAAATGCTCCATGACATTGATCTGGTCAATGATTTTTTGGATATGACCTCAAAAGCACAGTCAACAAAAGCAAATATAAATAAATGAGATTATATCAAATTAAAGAGCTCCTGTACAGTCAGGGAAACAAATAAAATAATGAAAAGACAA